>NC_000006.12:5060000-5211515 GCF_000001405.40 Homo sapiens
ATTCAGAAGGCAAAGGGGAAGTTTTCCTTTGGCCCCTCCAACATGAAATCTGGATGTCCCATAATATATTGAACTTGTCCCCTCTTTAATGAGCATGTACATTGTTTCTGGTCTTTTCCTGTTACTAACAGTGCTTCAGTGAAATACATATGTACACACGAAAGTGTGGGATCAAGTTCTAGAAGCAGAGTTCTTAGGTCAAAACTATTTCTTTTAAAACATTGATAGATATTATTTTATTGCCCTCCAAAGAGTGAGCCTTTTTTTCAAAGATGGTGGGAATATTGATCTCTGTGTGTTGATTGTCTTTTGGATTTGTTTGTTATAATTTTTGCCATGAAAAAATGTTGGATTTTTAAGCAGGTACATTACTGTTTATGCTTTGCAGGTACATTCATGTAGGCCTTTTGGTTTTGTTTCTTGCTTAAGTCAGGTCTTGCCCAGTGAAGGTTTTTTTTAGTTGCCTACACTTTCTTATAGTCCCCTTGAGTTTCGATTTTTGTATTTTTTTTTTTTTGAGACAAAGTCTCACTGTGTCACCCAGGTTGGAATGCAGTGGTACCATCTCCATAGCACTCCCATAGAAAACTCACAAAAATCAGCTCACACGTCTGCCTCTCGGGTTCAAGTTATTCTTATGTCTCAGCCTCCTGAGTAGCTGGGATTACAGGCATGCGCCATCACACCTGGGTAATTTTTGTATTTTTAGTAGACACGGAGTTTCACTGTGTTGCCCAGGCTGGTCTCGAACTCCTGACCTCAGATGATCCACCTGCGTCAGCCTCCCAAAGTGCTAGGATTACAGGCGTGAGCCACCGTGCCCAGCTATATTTTTCAATTTATCTGGAATTTATTTTGAGAATTAGAATTCAGAGAGATTCTGCCCACCCCATAGCCAACTAGTTATACCAGTGGTATTTATTAAATAATTCATATTTTCTCGACCAATTTTGAATGCCACCTTTATCCTATACTGTTCTGTGTTCTTAAATTTAGGGGACAGCCAGTCAGGTGCAGCCTCAAGAGGGGACACAGGAGAGGCTCAGAAACAGTTTATAGTCCTCTCAGGTCCTTCACACAGGAGGCTGGCCATGCAGGTCACTTAATTAATTAAAAAGACAGTTAATTAATTGTATTTTTTGGTGAGGGATTATTTTACTTTTAACTTCTTAGTGTTTAATTTTTAATCCTTCATTTCTTCTATTTTTCTGATTTTAATTTATTTATCAGCTTTAGATTTTTGTCTCTTTTAACCCAAACCTGATTTACTAGAAGTTGTCTATTTTCATGCACAAACTGTCACACCACGTGCAGAGGCCTGCCTGTCAGTCAATAGTTCAGTTTTGGCTGAACTGCCACCTTTGTTTCACAATAGCAAAACGATGATTTCACAATTGTTTGAATATCTTATTGCATTTTGCCCTTATTTTATACAAGATAGTGAACAATTGTAAAATAAAAAAGGTTAATCCTATCTATGTCATAAATAATGAGAGAAATGCAGAAATATTAGTTGCCTCCCAAGCTTTTCACTTACCAGGCTTACGCAGATCAAATGTGTGTTCAATAGCAAACGCTGAAGGTGGCTAGGGGCTATGGGGTTGGGATCTGAATCTAACTACCTGCATGGTGCAAGAACTAAAACCTGAAAAACGAACACAAAACCGATCCATGACCATTGAAATCCCCAGAGACTCTGGCAACAGGAAGTCTTGTACTGTTCTATTCCGCAGCCACCCAGAGCTCACGGGAGTCCCATAGAAAACTCACAAAAATCAGTTCACACACAATGAATTACAAAGCACTGGAAGAAATGAACACCATGAATAAGACGCAAGACCCAGAGATGGAATATTTATGCCATAATTGAGAATGTTATCACCTTTGTAATTCTCTAGCAATGGAGGTCTTTTATATGTGTGCATTGCTCAACTTTTTTATAATTAACTCTGGTACTTTCGTACCACCTCCACAATAGCGGGGTGTTTAATACTGATACTTTGCCATTTTCTTCCTTCTATTCTCCTGGCTTAAAATACTATTATTTTCATTTCTTTATTTCTTCTTCCCCTTCCTTCTTCTTTTTTTTTTTTTTTTTTTTTGAGATAGGGTCTCGCTCTGTTGCCCAGGCTAGTGTGCAGTGGTGCGATAATAGCTCACTGCAGCCTCAAACTCCTAGGCTCAAGTGATCCTACCATTTCAGTCTCCCAAGTAGCTAGGACTACATGTGCACACCAACACCCCAGCTAATTAATATATATTAATTATATATTTATATGTTGATAATATTTATAATACATATTAATTAATATATTTATAACATATATTAACATATATATATATGTTTAGAGACAGGGTTCACTGTGTTGCCCAGGCTGGTCTCGAACTCCTGGCATCAAGTGATCCTCCCACCTCAGCCTCCCAAAGTGCTGAGAGCCACCATGTCTGGCCTTATTTTCATTTCTTAATAATATCATTTCCCCTGAATTTCATGACCTATCTGCATTTTTCTTCCACATCATTGTTTTATTTAATTCACCCTTCCCTTTTAATAAAGGCCTAAGACAAATGTGGCCAAAGGGATGGTATCACCGAGGCAGCATGGCAGGAAGGATTAGAAGCCTCCCTTGCTCAGAGCTGCAGGTGAGCTGCCAGCTGGCTCTTCTACTGAAAACACATAACACATCCTGTTTGAGGACAGTTTTCCACCTCCCCAGGATCCAGGCGACTCTCAGGACATAATTTACTTCTCTGTGCAAGTGGTCCATGCATTTCTGGCTCTGTCAGGTGACTTCTGGAATTAGAACCTCATGGGAGAGGCTGCACACTTTAGAATCTGTGATCTCTGATGAATGCAACCATTGGATTTGGAGCAAATCAAAGCCTGCCGCAAGCCAGGAGGGGAAGGGAAGGAGGAGGTCACACTGGCAAGGGCCCTTGGAAGGACTCATGTGCCGCTGACTATCCTGTGGTCAAGTGGACCGTGGTGGAGGGTGGTGTGGGCATCCATTATCGAACCACTGGGTCTGCTCGTTCACAAAGCAGCTTCCCATGAGTCATTTCCATCTCTGCACCTCCTTCTCAACAGGCACAAGAGGAGTCACCTGTGGACATTTTCCCTCAATACAAAGTCTTCCTGAATAGGATTTTTTTTGAATGGGGCAAACTGGGCAGCAAGCTTTGATTTTTCTTTTTTAGGAAGGCACTGAAACTGGCACAGACGGGACGGCCACTTCATCCACCGACTAAAGCCTTGGTCCTCATGAAGCATTCTGTGCACCGAGACCTGGCTGACCCTGGGCTTTTCGGATGCACTGTAGCCCTCAGGGAGGACCTGGTGCTCTTCTGGGGAGATTGGAGTCCCTGGAAGGCACGTTAGCCAACCGCCCATTTCCAGCCCCACAAGCCTTTCCCGACCCCCATCCTACCTGGCCCCTCCCCCAGGCCTATCCTCCTGGTCTCCTTCCCTTGCTTTGGTTTTTTCACATCAGTTGTCGCCATGGGACGCTACTTACACCCTTGTGTGGTTGTTTATTCTGACACAATCTGAACCCCACTGGAAGAAGCTCCCGATCCCTGGAACCCAGGCTTGTTCACCTATGTCTCCCCAGCACTGAGCTTGGCCTGGAGTGATGTTTGTTCAGTGAGTGAGAGGCACTGCTCCTGGTGTGTGTGGCTTCCTCCCCCAACAGATCACATGTGGGTGCCACCGTGGACCACAGTTGGGGAGCCATCTCCCGGGAGCAGACTCAGCCTTCATCCCTGCCCAGCCTGGTCCCACCCAGCCCCTCTTCAGGCTGCCCCGGTTCCCCAGACCCTGGACAGTCCTGTTCATCTCTCTGCTCACCCCAGCATGTCGGGAACCTGCCCCAGAAAGTGGCATGCGCTGGTCCCAGGAACTGTCTGGGCACACTAGGCCTCTGGGCGAAGGGGTTGACTTGCCAGGCCAGGGGCAGTGGCTCCGGTGGGAGCTGCCTGTCTTGTGGCCTAAAGCCATGCAGTGAGGTTCACGGCTGAGTTCTTCCACATCTGTTGGGTCCCCAGAGCCTCTTAGCACTTCCTGGGAGCCCATTCTCAACTTGTGTTTGGCTTTTGGGAGCCTGTTTCTAACAATACACGCTTGAAAGGGACCCAGGTTTTAGAATGTTCTTTATTCCAAAGTCAAGGTTTTTGGAATTTTATCCCATCTGCTGGCTGAAAAAAAAAGGTGGGAGCAGAAATAAGGGTGACAAATGAATCAGCCTTCCCACCTAGCCCGGAAAAGTTCTATCCCAGCAAGCCCTGAACGGCAAACGAGACGTGATATCTATGTTTGTCTATTTGTCTTTAGTCATCTTTTAAATTTTATTTTATTTTAAAAATAATTAATATGTTTTATTTTTAGAGCAGTTTTAGGTTTACAGAGAAATTGAGTGGAAGGTACAGCTTTCCCATACACCCCTCAGCAACCCAAGCTCACTGTTTGCTCTGTTAACAATGAATATGAATGTAATGTATTTGTTACAGCTGATGAGACATTGATACATTCTTTTGTATCATATATTTTTTAAATTCAATTAACTTTTTGCTTAAAATTTTTTTTTATAGAGACGAGGGTCTCACTATATTGGTCAGATTGGTCTTGAACTCTTGGCCTCAAGGCAATCCTCTCGCCTCAGCCTCCCAAAGTGCTAGGACTACAAGGGCGAACCATTGTGGCTAGCCTTATTATTATTTTTAGTTGAAACACAATTGTACATATTTATGGGGTACAGTGTGGTATTTCAATTCATGTACACAAAGTGTAGTGATCAAATCAGGGGAATTAAGCATGTCCATCACCTAAAACATTCATCGTTTCTTTGTGTTGGGAACATTAAAATGTGCTCTTCTAGCTGGATACGTTATTTTAAACTAAAGTCCATAGTTTACATCAAGGCTTAGTCTCGGTGTTGCACATCCTACGGGTTTTAATAATGTTACGTATCCACCATTACAGTGTCATACAGAATAGTTTCACTGCCCTAAAACCTCTGTGCTCTGCCTACTCATCCCTCTCTACCCTAAACCATGGCAACCACTGCTCTTCCTAACTCCAAGTTTTGCCTTATCCAGAATGTCATAGTTAGAATCATACAGTATATAGCCTTTCCAGGCTTCTTTCACTTAAGTCATATGCACTTCAGTGTTCTCCATGTCTTTTTGTGGCTTGACAGTGTGTTTCTTTTTACTGCTGAATAATATTCCATTGTCTAGATATACTACAGTTTACTTATGCATTCATTACTGAAGGACATCTTCGTTGCTTCCAAGCTTTGGCTTTACATTTATATATTTATTTTTATTTAAAATATTTTAATTTCTAAAAAAGTTTAAATCATATTAAAATTTAAACAATTTCATTCTGTAGTACTTGACAATACATTTCAACAAACTGAAATGCAAAACAAATCAGTAAATCAGTTTTGTTTACTTTCTAAGCTTAATAATGTACAGACTCTTGCTCCTCAAGAAGATGCAAAAATCAGCAACAGTGAAAGTGAAATATTTAAATAGGAATCTGAAACAAAAGGAATTCAATCTGATCAAATCCACAATTAATTGAAGTTTTCACTTTATTCAATTGTGAATAAAATAGCAGCCACTGTTTCATCCAATATGCCAATGATATCAACTTCAGGAGAAATGATCTACGTGTCATGTGCAAAACAAGAACAGTTATCTTCTGCTGAAAGGATGTGAGCTTTCAAATTTGGTTTTCATGTCATGGTTTCCAAATAAATAAACTGCTCCACCAAAAACGACAGTCTAGTTGCTACATATTTACCAGGGTTTCATCATATAGCCATTTATAAGCACAATCTTTGGAACACTATAGTTTCAAAAAGTTTTTTGAAGTCTTGAGGGTACATGTTAGTTATTTTCTCTTCTTCCTTTTTTCCTATTTGCATCAATATATCCATTGCACCAAGTGGAGTCAGTGAACTTAAGTGGTCTATTAGATTGGCACTGCACCTCCCAAAACAGTGCTTTCACATGTGAAAAAATATATTACAGTTAATAGGTGTTAAGTTCTCGGTAAATAAATTTCCATGAGGAGTCATTCGAGTAAGATACAGATTTTGTTGTAATAGCTCCAATAATTCCCTACACTTTGGGTTTTCCAGCCGCCCATTTTGGGTGTATACATCAAATGACGACCAAGCCTCCATGTGCAGAACCTTAATCTCACAAGCTACTTGCCAGATAACACTTCATACATGATACAAGTCTGGATTTCGGGGATCTGCCGTTAGTTTCTGGAATTCTTTTTTACCAATAAACATATTTAGTTCTATTCGTCCAAATTTATATCTAGAAGTACAGGAATACGTCATATGCAGGTTTCCAAAGTGGCCCTTTTTTCACCTCTACTTGAGAACATTCTAGTTACTTTTAAAGGGCTGCCTGCTGTCCAAGGAACTGCTTCTATTCCCAAATTCTGAAAGAGCCCTTGAGAAGCCATAGCGGGTGGTTTTATTACTCCACCACTTCTAGGATCTATTTTAAAGAAGTCACAGTGAATCACTTGTAGTTTTCCATCCAGATTTTTTCCTAAGGACTCCAAATGTGGAATAAAAGTTTTGTCACTTTCAAGGGCAACCACTTTGGCACCAATTTCAAGTAATGCCTGAGTCAGGATTCCAGGACCTGGACTGCACTGCAGCAATAGGTGTGGAGGTCTATTTTGTTTTCTCCATACGATTTGCGCCAGGGTCTCAGCCAATCTCCGATTGGTTACGTAACGCTTAAAGTCTAAGATGGAGTTTAACACCCTCCTTGGTGAGTTCCTGAAATCCGGATCCGGCCACAGCTGCGGAGAGGAGTCAGACAGGCCACGGCGGTTCCTCGCCGGCAAGTGCTTTCGCATCGCCGCTCCAGACCCTAAAATGCAAAAGCGACCAGCGCCCCCCAAGGCGGAGAGCCTCAGCCGAGGAGGAAATCCGGCCACTGGGATCCACATGTCTTTGTCTCTCAGGCCCGCTCCAAGGATTACCGGGGGTTGCTACTGCAGTGAACCCCTAAATTTATTTTTAATTATATCATTGAAACATACATATATGCACTTGGCGGAAAAATTAAAGTGATACAGACAAAAGTATTAATTTCTTTGCTACTACTCCACCTCTTCCAAGTTCACCACATTCCCCATGTGCATCTTTCTAGATCCTTCCTAAGCATTTATAGATATTTATGTACACAGAAAACATTAGTTATCTATTGCTGTGTAACAGATGACCTCAAACTTAGTATGTCGTTAGCAACAGTTAACATTTACAATTGTGCAGCTTTTGAGGGTTAGGGAATTGGGGAATGTTTTATTTGGGTGGTTCTGGCTCAGTTTCTCATGAGGTTGCAGTGAGTATGTCAGCCAGGGCTACAGCCATCAGAGTCTTAAATCCGCTTCCAAGGAGGTTAACTCACATGGCTGGCAAATTGATGCTGGTTGGCTCTGAAGGGCTGCTTGAGTGTTCTCACAACATGGCGGCCAGCTTCCTCAAAGCAAGGGAGAGCTGGGGGAGTGCTCAGTGTCTTTTGTGACTCAGCCTTGGAAGTTGTACATTACCACTTCTGCAGCCTCCTGTTGGTTACATGGGCTATGGGAAGGGTGTGAACACCAGGAGGCAAGGCTTGGCGACTGTTTTATAAAGACTGACTACCATGCAGGGAAACTAATGGATTTTTTTGTAGTTTTGGTGGAAAACTTTACATTTGGGAAAAGGAAAAGTTACAAATCTTAATCGTTTTTAAGCGTTACGATACACACAAAGTAAGCAGTATTAAAACAAATCCCATGCCAGTTTGTAGCAAACAATCTGTGTTGAGGAATTTTAGCCATCATAATAGTGAAAAAAAGATTACGTATATAGTGTGATGATTTCAACTTTGCAAGAACTCATTTGTTAAGGCTTGGATATGAGAAGATTGCAGGAATAAATTAACTTTCACATACTTAAAATCTCCTCACAAGAACACCCTACATTTATCACAGTGCTAAATGTGCTATGGAAAGCACATGCTTATGGAAAACAGGCTCTAAGTTTTATTTTTCCTTTAAAAAGGCAACCTTCTTGCCCACACTCTGATTGATTTTAGGCTTGGGCTCATTCATTTTGACCAGGGTGGTTGGGCTTCTCTCTGTTTACAAACAGGTGTTTGCCTTACAATTCTGTTGTCTATTCACCGTCACACTGTATGAGGTCAAAGTAGAAGTCAGTTTGGAAATGCGACATCAACCATCGTCCGCTGGGGAGCAGAGCAAAGGTAAACATGGTGAAAGGTCCTGCAGCAGCCAGCCAGACACAGTCAGGACTTGCCTGGGATCATAAAGGCCTCCTGCCAGCACGCCGGCCCCTCACCCCACACAGAGCCATGGGCCACTGTTTACTGTCCTGACTTCACAGTGCCATGACTATTGATCATGGGTGAGCGCAAACATAAGAGTACAACAGTGTGATGGTCCGGAAGAAAACTCACATCAAAACACCTGTTGATGTATTCTGACGTCATAGGTTCAAATGTCCCATGATCTTGAGGCTTGGCTCTTCCACGCCGCAGCCCTTCCAAATAGCACACCCAGGGCCCACTGCGTGCTGTCTCTGTTGCAGACCCTGTGTACGTGACTTAATCCCGTTGGAAAGGGGACACTGGAACAGAGAGAAAGCAGAGGAGGGGAGTCTGGGGAAAAAACGGTCTATCGGCATGCATACATATGTAACAAACCTGCACGTTGTGCACATGTACCCTAGAACTTAAAGTATTTAAAAAAAAAAGAATTTAAAAAAATGAGTTATCCATTTGTAAACTGCTGATTTCTTTGGGCATTGTGCCTATAAACTTTGTGTAAAGCATCAGTGATTTCACCATTCTTCCACCCAAACTTCACCATAAGTTTGATGTTTCTTCTTGCTTCAATTTTAGCAGGATTCATGTTTCTCTAATAGGCGGTCTTTTCAAACTGATGTTTTATCCTTCTTAGAGACTCAACCTAGATCCTCTTCAGACATGCTACAACAAGTTAGTACAAGTTTATTTGGTGCAAAAAAAAAATGGAAATCCATGCATAGTTGTTAAATAATATGCATTTTTCATGAACTTTTTGAAAACCCATTGTATACTTAAGCTGTTCCACATGGAAAAGCTTCCATGATCAAACGCGGTAGGGCAGCATCTCAAACATTTTGTTCTAAGGATTTCTTTTCACTCTTCAAAGTTATTAAGGACCCCAAAGACCATCAGTTTATTTGGGTTATATCTACTAATACGTACTCTATTAGAAATTAAAACTCAGATATTGTAAAGATATTAATTTGTTAAAAAACAAGAGTAATAAACATCTACATGTTAACATAAAAAAAAAACTAGTCAATCGGCGCACATCTTACTATGTCCAAAGATTTATATTTTCCACAATACATATATCATCAGCTACACTATATATATATTATATTTATATATATATATTTTTTTGTTTTTTGTTTTTACGAAGTCTTGCTCTGTCACTAGGCTGGAGTGCAGTGGCGTGATCTCAGTTCACTGCAACCTCCACCTCCCGGGTTCAAGCAATTCTCCTGCCTCAGCCTCCCAAGTAGCTGGGACTATAGGCATGCGCCACCACGCCTGGATAATTTTTTGTATTTTCATAGAGACATGGTTTCACCATGTTGGCCAGGCTGGTCTCGATCTCCTGACCTCATGATCCGCCTGCCTCAGCCTCCCAAAGTGCTGGGATTATAGGCGTGAGCCACCGTGCCCGGCCTACACTATGTATTTTATGTATTTATTTGTTTATTGTTTGTCTCCCTTTCCCAGACAATAGAATATGAACTCCCCAAGGGCAAGGATTTGTGTCTGTTTTATTTACTGCTGCGTCCCTAGCACCTGGAGGCATGTCACACAGCCAGCATGCAATAACTGTGAGGTGAGTTAATCAATGGAAGCACCATGCTGACACGTAATCACAGCAAGAAATTACTGTGCACCAGCACATGCTAGGCTTAGCAATTTGCATGAATTTTCCTGTTTCAATGTTCATAATGGAGCAACACTACAATGCAGGCTCTAACATTATTCCATTTTACAGATAAGGAAACTGCAGCTCAGAAAGGCCATATAACTTGCAGAAACAGTGGCATTGAGGTTTAATCCCAGGTGTTCTGTCTCCTAGGTCTTTAGTTCAGACCAAGCCTCCAAAGCCAGACTCTAGGAAACTTACAAAGACCAATTAGACACAGTCCCTCTTCTGCAAGCAGAATATGCTAGTTGGAGATAAAATCTGGAAATAAGTCAGAACCAACCAAGGCAGTAATGATATGAAGTGTGATGGAGGGTGCAGGAGTGAAAATGGGTGGGCACAAAAGATAAACAGCAAGATGTTTACTAACAGTATTATTGCTAGATAGTGAAAGTATAAATGTTTAATGTTTTTATTTCCTACTTTATCTTATGTTTTCTAATTTTTCCATAGTAAACAAGTATTGATTGTTTGTAATAAGTATTGTGATTATTACAAGTATTGTCATAAGGAAAAAATATATTTATCTTCAGAAATTTTCTCTTAAAAATTTAAAAACAGGCTGGGTGCGGTGGTTTACACCTGTAATCCCAGCACTTTGAGAGGCTGAGAGGGGAGGATTGCTGAAAGCCAACAGATCAAAACTAACCTGGTCAACATAGCAAGACACCATCTATACCAAAGGAAAAAGAAATTACCTGGGCATGGTGGTGCATGCCTGTCAGCTACTTGGGAGGCTGAGGTGGAGGAGTGCTTGAGCCCAGGAATTCAAGGCTGCAGTGAGCCATGATTGTACCATTGCACTGCAGCCTGGGTGACAGGAAGACCCTGTCTTGAAAAAAAAAAAAAAAAAAAAAGGTTTAAAAATACATTTTCTGCTGGGTGCGGTGGCTCACACCTGTAATAACAGCACTTTAAGAGGCTGAGGTGGACGGATCGCGAGGTCAGGAGATCGAGACCAGCCTGGCCAACATGGTGAAACTGTCTCTACTAACAATACAAAAATTACCTGGGCGTGGTAGCGGGCGCCTATAACCCCAGCTAACTCGGGAAGCTGAGGCAGGAGAATCGCTTGAACTCGGGAGGCAGAGGTTGCAGTGAACCAAGATCGTGCCATTGCACTCCAGCCTGGGTGACAGGGCGAGACTCTGTCTCAAAAAAAAAAAAAATTTATAATGTAAGTATAAGACAAGCTTCTTTCCTATCGTTCCATTTTCCCTCCCTCAAAGTGAACTCTATTACTAGTTTTTGGATAACCTTTCAATGATAGTCTGTGCATAAAAGTCATATACAATGATATCTATTTAAAAAATTTTTTTAAACCACACTAAATTAAACTTTAACCCAAGGGCTGGCTCCTCAGGAAGAAAATGTATCTTGGGTTACTTTTCAACCACCTCCAGCAAGCAGGGCTGGGACTCCGGTGGGGTGAGCAAGGTACTTGGCTTGGACATCAAATTTAAGGGAGGGCCAGAAAACTCAGCACTCATGATAAACTTTATATATATATGTGTGTGTGTGTGTGTGTATATGTATATGTATATATATGTGTATGTGTATGTGTGTGTATGTATGTGTGTGTGTATGTATATATATATGTGTATGTGTGTGTGTGTATATATATGACAGAGTTTTGCTCTGTCACACAGGCTGGAGTGCAGTGGCACGATCTCAGCTCACTGCAGCCTCTGCCTCCCTGGCTCACACGATTCTCCTGCCTCAGCCTCCCCAGTAGATGGGATTACAGGCATGCACCACCACGCCCAGCTAATTTTTGTGTGTGTGTTTTTAGTAGAGACGGGGGTTTCACCATGTTGGCCAGGCCGGTCTCGAACTCCTGACCTCAAGTGATCTGCCCACCTCGGCCTCCCAAAGTGCTGGGATTACAGGTGTGAGGCACCACACCTGGCTCATTAGCTGTTCTTCCTGATCCTCTCCCTCTTCCCACCCCCAACCTTCTGACTGACCCAGCGTGTGTTTTTCCCCACCATGTGCCCATGTGTTCTCATCACTTAGCTCCCAACTATAAGTGAGAACATGCAGTATTTGGTTTTCTGTTCCTGTTAGTTTACTAAGAATAATGGCCTCCAGCTCCAGCCATGTCCCTGCAAAGGACATAATCTTGTTCCTTTTTGTGGTTGCAGAGTATTCCTTGGTGTATATGTACCACATTTTCTTCATCCAGTCTGTCATTGATGGGCATTTAGGTTGATTCCATGTCTTTGCTATTGTGATTAGTGTTGCAATAAGCATATGTGTGCATGTGTCTTTATAATAGAATGATTTATATTCCTTTGGATATATATCCAGTAATGAGATTGCTGGGTTGAATGGTATTTCTGCTTCTAGGTCTCTGAGGAATCGCCACACTGTCTTCCACAATGGTTAAACTAATTTACACTCCCACCAACAGTGTAAAAGCCTACATTTTTCTCCACAACCTCGTCAGCATCTGTTGTTTTTTGACTTTGTAATAATAGGCATTCTGACTGGTGTGAGATGATATCTCATTGTGGTTCTGATTTGCATTTCTCACATCAAAGTTTTTTTTTTTTTTTTTTTAAGACAGAGTTTCACTCTCGTTGCCCAGGCTGGAGTTCAATGGCACGATCTCGGCTCACTGCAACCTCTGCAGTGTGGTAGAACGCAGATGTGGTAGAAATAGCCACCGCATCGGCCCACATCAAAGTTTTAAACAAAGGTAAGACCAGGTTTTTGTTTGTTTGTTTGTTTTTATAAGCAGATCCAGACTCTATGGAGCCTGAAGCTTTTCTAATTATAGGTGATCAGGGAGGGGCAGGGGATGAAGACTTCTTTTAGAAAAAGTTCATAAAATTTCCAGTAAAAATTAGATGTAAGAAGCATTTATTTAGAATAAGAAAATCACATTTAAAGACTGACATATACCACAAACATCACAAAATGTATGAAACATAATTTTTAAATTAATTGCATGACATGTCTTTATAATACATTTTCCTTTATATTTTTGTAGGAAAATTTTGGAAGACCTTTATGAAGTTTCCTTTGTATGTCAGTTATTAAAAAATGTAGTATAGGGGCCGGACATGGTGGCTCACACTGTAATCCCAGCGCTTTGGGAGGCCGAGGCGGGCAGTGGGCCGATCACATGAGGCCAGAGTTCGAGACCAGCCTAGCCAACATCTCTACTTAAAATAGAAAAAAATTAGTCAGGCCTGGTGGCACACGCCTGTTATCCCAGCTACTCGGGAGGCTGTGGCACAAGAATCATTTGAACCCGGGAAGTGGAGGTTACAGTGAGCTGAGATAGTGCTACTGTGCCCCAGCCTGGGTGACAGAGCAAGACTGTTAAAAAATATATATATTTTTTATATATATTGGCATCAAAGATTTCTCTATCAGAGCTGCACCAGAGGACTGCAGGTGGGTCACACTATGTGTATATATATTTTTTTTCCTATTTTATATATCTATATATATCTCTATATATATCTCTCTATATATCTATATGTATATCCTATACTATATAGGATTATAAATACTATATTATATATAGTACATAGTATATATATTTTATATATAGTCTGTATAATATATAATCCTATACATATAGTATAGGATTATGCCAACAAGCACAGAAATCTGATATATTCCACTTTCCATGATCACCATAAAATAAAATGTGACTCTCTATGTGAGCCTCTCCAGAAAGCATCTTAAGACACAACAGCTGGATCCATCAGAATGTCAGCAAGAGGGAGCGTTGGCAAGAGACCTAATCACAGAAATGACATCCCGTAACTATTCAGTAGGCAGGGGGCTCTAGGCCCCGCCACACCCAGGGGAGTGGGTAATATGGAAGTGAACATCTGGAGGTGGCGTTCTTCTGCGACTGGCTGGCCTTATACCTTCCTGTCATGCTGCTGCTTGGGAGCACAGGGGGCCACAGAAGCCTCTTGGAAGCCATTCTGACACTATTCCAACACCACCAATGCCTCAGCTAGACACACGTGGCTGCAGGTTACCTCTATGTACACCACTAAACTCATCTGCTCCTTATTTGTCCCTAATTCACCTGCCCCCCATCTGGATCCCCAAAACGCACTGGCCACTCCAACAGCCTCTTATACAAGTGGGCTTAACTGAATGCAGTTGAAATACCTTACTTTTGCAAATTCTACAAAAGCATGGCTATGTAAATACATAGAAAAGAGGTCGAAGGGCACTGAAGCTTCAGTAGTTTCACCATAAATTGGCCTCTGAGTGGAAGCCATTATTACTGACTAGGTCAGTCTAGAAAAATGGCAAAAAGTTGGTAAAATTTGTAAATTGCCTCTGACTGGCTAATTTTGATAATGAGATGGGGAGAGAAGCACAGGTACTTTTTTTTTTTTTTTTTTTTTTTTTGGAGTTTGGAGTTTGGAAGAAGTTTATTCCAGTCCTCATGGATGACTTTGAGAGGTTCAAGGCTTCAGTGGAAGAAGTCAATGCAGATAGAAATAGCAGCAAGAGAACTAGAATTCTGAGTACAGCTTGAAGCTATGCTGTGACTGGGTTGTGGCAATTTCATGATAACACTTGAACAAGTGAGGAGTTGCTTTTCTTTCTTTTTTTTTTTTTAATTATACTTTAAGTTCTAGGGTACATGTGCACAACATGCAGGTTTGTTAAATAGGTATATATGGAGAAGCACAAGTAAGGGAAGTGATTAAGGGAAGTGATTTGGAGGAGATTTCTCTAAGGTACTGGCTTTTATATACACGTTGATGGTGGTGATGGTGATGGTGGTCATAATGGTGATACTGTTTTTCTGTGGAGTGCTGATATAGTTTGGCTGTTGTCCCTGCTAAATCTCCTGTTGAATTGTAATCCCTAATGTTGGAGGTGGAGCTTGGTGAGAGGTGATTGGATTATGGGGGTGGATTTCTCATAACTGGTTTAGTGCTCTTCCTTTGGTGCTGTCCTCCCAATAGGGAGTGAATTCTTGCAAGATCTGGGTGTTTAAAAGTGTGTGGCACCTCCCCCCACCCTTGCTCCCTCTCTTGCCATGTGACCTGCTGGTGCCCTTCACCTTCCGCCATGATTGTAGGCTTCCTGAGGCCTCCCCAGAAGCCAAGCAGATGCCAGTGTCATGCTTCCTGTATAGCCTGCAGAACCGTGATCCAGTTCAACCTCTTTTCTTTATAAATTATCCAGTCTCAGATATTTATAGCAATGGAAGAATAGCCTAACACAAGCACTTTGCTCAAACAAAATCCTAGGGAATCTCAATGTGCAAAACAGGTAGAAGTATGACTTCTCAGCTAAATTTGGAGCAGAGGGACTGGAGCTCACATTAGCCCAAGGGATTCCTAGGGGAAGCTCTGCAGAAAACACCATCTTAAGGGGGATAGAGGAGAGGAGGATGGACATATGGTCAGTGTCAGATTATGTTGGGGTGAGGAATTCACACTATACTTGGTAGGTGGATATAGTTGGCATCAAAGATTTCTCTATCAGAGCTGCACCAGAGGACTGCAGGTGGGTCACACTGGGGAGGCAACAGCAATCTGGAAAAGGAAGGAATGGACAAGAAGACATTATAATGAAAGGAAGAATGGGCATAGAAATAAGATCAAGTGGCCAAAGGTGGCTAATGAGAGGACAGAAGTCAAATGCTGTAATGAATCCAAATGCTGTTAGAACAATGTTGAGTGCTACATTGCTTTTTAAAAAATTCTTATTATGTTTTAAATTGTGGCAAAATATACATAACATAACATTTATTCATAATTGCTTTTTAAATTTTGCTGTTTTACAAAATGGAAAGATATTTGCACTAAAGAATTCAAACAGTATAAAAGGATCTGGAATGAAAAGTAAGTTTCCCTCCCACTTCATACACCTTAGCTCCTCAGAGGCACCCCCTGCTAACTGGGTTTATGTATTTTTTTTTTTTTTGAAACAGGGTTCTCAGAAAAAACCCGTCACGCAGGCTGGAGTGCAGTGGTGCGATCATGGCTCACTGCAGCCTCATTCTCCTGGGCTCAGGCAATCCTCTCACCTCAGCCTCCTTAGTAGCTGGAACTATAAGTGTGCATCACCACGCCCAGCTAATTTTTCTATTTTTTTGTAGAGACAGGGTTTCACCATGTTGCCCAGGCTGGTCTCAAACTCCTGGGCTCAAGTGATCCACCCGTCTTGGCCTCCGGAAGTGTTGAGATTACAGGTGTGAGCCTCTGCGCCCAGCTATTTTTTTTTTTCCACATAACTATTCTGTACTTTGTTGGTTTTTTGTTTGTTTCCCTTTGAACAAACCAGCCAGAGTAACTTGCATGTGACTGGAAGGAAGGTAGACAGGGAGAAAATAGCCAGGCTGTAGAGTTAGACCTTGAGCCAAATCCTGGCTTTGTTACCAATTCATTGATAGCCTTGGGCACATTTCTTGAGCTCTTGGAGGCTCAATGTATTCTTTCTTTCAAAATTATTATAATAGTGTCTTCCTGTTAGGACACTCTGTGCTGCGAGCAGCAGTAAACTCAACTCCAGCTGGCTGAAACCTAAGGTTGTATTTTTCATCCCACACAATAGGAGGTCTAGCCACAGTGCATCTTTGCTGTCAATGGGGTTGGGATGGTATCACCACCTAAGGAGGGGTGCTTGGGAACAGGGGTGTAGAACTTTCAGTTGTCACAATTCCAAGGGCTGCTAGCAGCATTCTGAGGGTGGGGATCATGGATGTTGGAGATCTTAGAATGTCTGTAGCAGCCCACCCCATCAAGGAACTGTTCTGCTGAAAATGCCGGCTCATTGAGAAGCATCGATCTAGTCACTCAATCACACGATCACGCCAAGGACCTCCGTTCTTCTCTCTTCCATTTCTCATGCTCATGGCCTCACCTCTGACAGTAGCAGGGTGGCTGCAACCACTCAAGGTGATACAATAATGTCCAGGGAACAAGAGAGGCCATATCTTCTACTTTCTCTTGAGAAAAAAGGAAACCTCCCTCAGGAGCTTCCTCGAAGGCTCCCCCTACCACATCTTACTTGCTCCTTCCTGAACCCGTCCTAGGCCGGGGTGCTGCTCTTAAGTCACACAGACGCTATTCTGGAGCAGGTTGGGGTCAGCTTCCCCTGAGCCAGGGGCTGTGTGTGGGACAGTGGGGATACCCATTAGGGCAGGTCAGCCACGCCGTCTACTCCACCACCTCACTAGGTTCCTATAAGGATTACGGAAGACATGGTCTCTGTCATACAGTGAGAACGCAAAGTTCTTCCCTCAAAGAAAACTGTCACACGCGGTCATTTCCCTAACCTTTTAGTTCTGCCTCACGTAGAAAAAGTGGGCAGGCTCTGTGGACAGGGAAGTTGAGAAGGTGAATGAAGGGCGTTCCTCCCAGAAGCTGAAAGACGCTGGGGACAGGACCTGCTCCGGGTGATGATGTGGAAGTGGGAGGTCGCCATCAGTCCTGGACTCCCAGTGGTTTTTTCTGTTCATCAGTTAGAATCCTGTCACGTGTATCAAGAGCTGACATTTTTACATATTTGTGTTTACCATGATGAGTATTTACAGTCATCCAAAGTTAAATTTTAAAAAACTATGAAATATTAAGTGAAATGACTTAAAAGGGGTGTAAGATCTACCTGAGAATAAAAACTTGACACTAAAACTTGAAGAATTAATAGATAGAAAGTCAACTATATTCTATTGGTCCCTTTAGAATTTAAAGGGTTTTTTATCTTTAATTTTTATTTGGTGGAAATATTCTAAGAATTTTATTACTGAAAACAGCATGTAAAATAAATGATTATACAACTAATGGAATCACATAAATAGAAGCAAAATTGAGTTAAAACTGATTCTTTAGAAGCAAAATCCATTTAGGGTTCTTCTTCTAAAATATGAAGGATGATTCTACAACTTTCCTCAGTAATCTTAACAAATTTTTATTGCTTGTATGTTAAGAATAATTGCAGAATGTAAAGTTTACATAATTGTTACTTTCAGAAACATTTTGGGGTTCATCCTCAGGCCAGTCAGTCCTGACCTACAAGTTACAATGAGACAAGATTATGCAAATCATGTTAAAGTCTTAATCAAGTAAACATAAGTAAAGCACATTGAAATGGAGAAGCCGAAGAGATTAAGAATTTTAAAAACATATAAAAAGCCTTAAATCTTTCCTATTTTCTCCTCATCCCCTTGGCTGTAAGAAGGTGGGATGGCCCCTTTCAGCTGGGTACTTTTTTTTTTTTTTAATCAAAAGCAACATGACCTGTCTCAAGTGGAATTCCAGAGAGGGCTGCAATGGGGCTCAGACAGTGGACTGTGCCAGCGTGCTTCATCTCAAATCCTGGCTCAGCAGTTTGCTACCTGGGTAACAAGAGCTATTCATTTAACCTCTTTCAGCCTCTAAGACCTGTTGTTGGGTATAATCATCATCCTCATCCCATAGGGCTGTATGAGGACGATAAATGATGTAAGCAGTGTTTAGTACACGGTGACCAGTAGGTGTCAGCTGTACTAGATGTCATTCTAGTCCTGGCTCTTCTAGATTGGCTAAATGGCTTCGGTTAAACACATTATTTAAATCTCCCTGGCTTTATATTCTGAGCCCTTAAAGTTCCTCAATTCTATTAGAAGGCACACATATGAGAAAACAAATGATCCAGGCAAGAAGGGTCATGTTTTTTTCAAATTCATTGCAAGTGTATTCCCTTGCCATATTTCAGTTTGTGTTGATAAATGGGGCCTAAGGTGCTATAGAACTTGATCCCTTCAAGTTATAAGGGCATTTTTCTTGAAAGTTTCCACTGCTGCAGTTAAGCCCCTGAAAAATCACTGTGGCTTTAGCTTAAGCAAGCTAATCTCTTTCAAAAGCCAAGGAAGAGTTAGGAAAATTATTTCTAAAATGCTTTTGCTCTTTTAAAATACTTAAAATTTTTAAATATTTAAAAATACTTTGGCATATTATATATGGTGTAGGAGAGGAAAGGCTTTTCCTCTATCCTCTTGGGTTCTATGGCTGGGCCTGAGAATTAAACTCACAAAGGCAGCTAACCAGGAGAAAAGCACACAAATTTTACTTAATACGAATATTTCTATGTGTACACAAAACCCTTCCTATGTAAGAAATAAAAACCCAAAGAAGTGGATAGGTCTGAGAGCTTACACACCCTTTTAACAAAGAATTGTGGAGATGTAATAAAACAAAGGAAAAAGGGGTTTGGGCTGGGATCAGTAAACTGTCAGAAAGTAACTAGGAAATATATGGAGGAAACTAATGAAAGACAAAGGTTAATTTAGTAGGTTTGTTTACACAGATTCATCTCTGCATAGACTTCCCATCTCTAATGATAAGAATATTCTCTTCTTGGTGCAAGGAAGGCATCTTTCTTATAGAATATTTATGTCCTGCTTTTAGGTAGAAAGGGGAAGTCTGAGAGGTCTTCCAGCATCTTCTCAATTGCTTCCAGCTCAAAATAATCAACGTGCCAAAATGGCATATTTTGGGGTCACGTGTTCTGATCCCCTTCAATTCCCTATCTGAAACTTCATAGGAAGCGTCACATATTAAAAGCTGACTTGGTGGATGTGAAGAGAAAAATGGAATCAGTAGCTGAGTGGTAAGAGATTTGCAAAAGGAGAGAAGAAGATGGATTAGAACAAGAATAAACAAACAGAACAACTACAACAACAAAACTAAACATACTTCTCCTTATACCATTAAACCAGTCTCCCTATCCTGGGAATAGGCCAGTCCAATCAAATGGTTGAGACTCATTGATCTGATGGAGTGTTAACTTTGTTTTTAAAGGTACGAATTAAACACCATTTGTCCTATCTGATTCACAAGGAAGCAGAATTTTTCACCAATGATTGTGCAAGCTCCTCCTTGTTGGGCAGTGTATCCAGGGCACAACTATTTTGGAGTACAACAGTGGCTAAACTATTCATTTCTGACTGGAATACTTCCAATGTTTGCATAGTGGTATTGAACTCTGGTTCTATTACCATGGGAATATTTAGGATCACCTTTTCCAAGCCATGAATTCTAAAACTTGGAAATCAGGTCCTCGACATTGAAAAGAACTTGGAGTGAGGATATAGTGGGTATTCTATGACATCTCATCTGGTATGTTTATGTGGCACTACTATATGAATGAAGGAGCCCAAGTTTGTAATTTGGCTAGTATTCAAGGTGGAGTACATGGTGATGGAAGGTCCCAGATATCTGAGTCCAAACTGTCCTGACCTTTTAAGTGAAAACCCTTTACATGCCTTGTTGCCACATAAAATAAAAAGAGAAAAAAAGACCAGTGCTGTTCATGGTCAAAGTCAGAGTGGAACCTGCAATTCTCCAGATCTAATGTGTTTCATGACCCTTGTCATTGGTCATACTGGGATCTGCATACCTCCATGTGCCCCTGGAAGAGCAGAACTGTTTGCCAAATATCTAATACAGGAGGCCTGCAATCTGGGTCTGGAAGCTGTAAGGCCTGGTTTTGTTACTTGGCCAAGTTATTCCAGGTTTTTGGTCTACTCATTCATAATTTTTGGTGTCGAGCATCCGAACCGGGAGCACCTGAACTATCTCGGGCTGTGCAAGTGTGGCCTGGGAAACAGCTGAAACATTTGGTAATTTGGCAAATATTTATGCTTAAAAGGCAGTGCCGGAACCAATTATGACTTCCTTGAGGGGTTTGAGAATGCTACCTATGGAATCCGACTACAGGGTTTGAGTGTAACATTGCCTTGGTATATCTAGGAAGGGTCCAGGACCATTTCTGTTTTCAATGCAAAGGGGAAAATTCCTTTCCAATGACTTCAACTGAATTGTTTGACATTTCCCAGCCCAGACTCCAGACCTGGTGATCAGATGATCCCAGCCCCAGCCTTCAAACCACTGCAAATAGAGAAGAGACAAGCTATCCCTGAGAGAGCCCTGCCCAATCTACAGATTAATAAAGAAAATAAATACTGTTATTATTTTTAAAAACAGCCCTGTTTGGGGTGGCTTGTTATGCAGCAATAGGTAACACGAACAAACGGTAAAGCTTGGAGCCTCTGAATGCCCGGAGTAAATATTTTAGCAGTGGAGGCACATGATGTTTGAAGTAGGACTGAACACACTTGGGCGGGGGGGGGGGGGGGGTAGACTGCACAGTCTAAATTTCAAGAAGTTAGTTTACATGTTAACATCATTTAACTATTAACTTCAGGGCTTTGCATCTCAGAGTAGAGAAGACCTGGGCCCTGTCTCCGGGAGAAAGCTTAGGGGACAGTGAGCTTGGAAAAGCAGTCCATCCCCACCATCCATTGTGCCAGAGTGGAGGAGTGGTGTGGGAGCCAGAGATCACCCATTGTTTCTGCACCTTTCAGGAGGCAAGGGGGAGGACCCGAAGTCCCCATGGGCTGCAAGGTGGGTGCACACCGTTTCTGCTTCTGAAGTCCTTCCTTGGCTTCTGAGAACAACCCTCTTCCATTCCCTCCAACCCTTCTGGCTGTTCATTCTCTATCCCTGTTGCAGGCTCATCCTCCTCCTCCTGACCTGGGAACATCAGGGCTGCTCAAAGCTCAGTCCTGGGCCCTCTTCCCTTCTCAGCTTTAGACCTCCTGTAGTATAATAAAAATAGACATTTGGTCTTTGTCCTTGGTTCCTGAAATAGAAAGGCTAAAACTCTTGGAATTTTCTGATAGAACATTTGTTATTACTTACATTGTTAGTGTTATTTTGTTGTAACATAATTGTTTTTTATAAAGAGTCCCTTTTGATCACACCTGAATTTATGCTAATGAGATGACTGAGAGTGGGCTCTCTAGACAGCCTCAAGATGGGCTGGGTACCAGAAACACCAAGTGATTAGAGGACTGGAACTTTTAACTCCACCCACTGACCTCCAGAAAGGGGCAGGGGCTGCAGACTGAGCAAGGCTGGTGGGGCTTCTGGGTGGGGAGCATGTGGAGACCCTGGAGGCTGGTGCACCCAGAGGGGCCCTGGAAGTCCCATGCCCATCGCACACTCTGTCTTCTATCTCTTCCCTTTGCCAGTTCCTGAGTTTTCTTCTTTATAATAAACTGGTGAACTCAAGCAAAGTGTTTTCCTGAGTTCCGTGAGTCATATGGAAGCTGGGGATGGGTTGTGGGAACACTAATTTGTAGCTGGAGGGGCAGAAATGCAGGCAGCCTGGGCACCCCGTTTGCAAGTGGCTTCTGAAGTGGGGGCCGTCTTGTGGGACTGAGCCTCTAAGCTGTGGAGACAGACACTAGCTCCAGGTAGATAATGTCAGAATTGAATTATTGGACACCCTGTTGGAGAACTGGTGTTAGACACCACTTGGTGTTGGTAAGAACCAGAGAAGCTCAACCTGGTCAAAACAGAATTCATGATCTTGCCCTCCCTCTATTCCTCTTCTGGGGGTCCCTGCCCCAGTGACTGCTACTGTCTACCCAACAGCTCAAGTCCAAATCCTAAGGCACCTCCCTCCCCCTGCCTCCCTGCACCTACCCCCACTTGGGGCCATAAGTGTGCTACATTGATTTTCACTCCTAAATAGCGCTCAGATTTGTCCACCCCACAACCATCATCTCTTAAGTATGATCACCCTTCACCACAACAATGGCAACAGCCTCCTATGGGGCTCACTCACATTGTTTCTGTCCCCAGTAATTTGCTCTTTGTCCTGTATCCAGAATGATCTTTTCAAAATTTAAATCTGGTTAGTCACATTCATGACTCAAAACCTTTTGACGGCCTCTCATTGCTCAAGGTTGAGTGGCTGTCCCCTCCCATCCTCAGCTCCGCCAGTTCCTCTGTGCTCTCTGCCCTCAGGCCACCCTGGCCTTCTTCCAGTCCAGCCCCCTGACACTCCCTCCAACAGAGCCTCTGCGTGGCCCAGCACGTTCTTCCTTGCAGTCCGAGCTGTTCCTTCCACCTCACCTTCCTCACAGGCCTCCTGACCAGGTCAGATACCACCTTCTCAGCATTGGCCACAGGGGCTGAGTTTGTATAGTGTTGGCCCCTCCCACGCACTGAGAGCTCCCCGGGGGTGGGACCTCTAGCATTTCCACCGCACAGAGGAGGGTGGGCCGGGGCTGGGACCAGTGCACCTGCATGACCCTGAGAGTGATGCCTCCTTAAATTCTATGCCCCAGCACCTCCCTCACCTCCTTCTCTGTCCTGGAGTGAGCATGTGCCCCCGTGAGGGTTGTAGCCCAAAGGGTCGCCACCACCTCAAAATCTCTTTGAAGTCTTATTTTATCTTTAAAATAGCTTGTGAATTTTGTATTTAACTCCATAATGTAGCAATGTGTATTTAAATGTAAAAGCAATGTCCTTCCCGAAATCAGAGTTGCTGCAGGAAGACAGGCCGTGTGCGCCTGGGGCCTCTTGGAGATGCCATGCCCAAGTCAAGACACAGTCATGGAATTCCACACTGGGCATAAAATGACCAGCAAGAGTCCAGCAAGGGGACCGGCAGGGCCCCCTTTACAGGACATCACTCCCAGCCCAGGCTTAGTAGTGATGGGGGAAATGTTTCCTCTAAGCTGCCTGGCTTCAAATCCCATGAAAGCCACCCTGTGGGGCCTTGGCGATGAGAAATCTTTCTGCAGTGTTGTGTCCTATATGTAGGCAGGAATGATGTGATTCCTATTTCATGGACAGGACATCCTGTAGGTGCTCAGTCAATCAATGTAAGCTCTTAACACGCTCCTCACCCACCATCTCTTTTGCCTGCCCTCTGCCAACATGGCTAAAACCCTGGCCCCTTTCAGTTCTGCCAAACCATGACATGTTTTAGTTATGAAGCCCCAATTAATTACGTTTCTTAATTAGTGGTTCTGTTTCTAGAATCCCCAACTTTCTATATAAGTAACTGAATACACATCCACATAGGTTTAAATACGGTCCCCAGAGCCCAGCATCAGCATCCCCTTGTTAGAAATACTTCCAGGCCCCAGCCCAAGCCCACTGAGTCACAAACGCTAGGGAGCTGGGAGCAGTGGGGGGCGCCTGTAATCCCAGCTACCTTAGAGGCTGAGGCGGGAGGACTGCTTGAGGCCGGGAATTTGAGACCAACCTGGGCAGCATAGCAAGACCCCTATCTCGAAAAAGTTAGAAAGAAGGAAACTCTGGGAGTGGGGCCCTGTGATGTGACAACGGGCCCCCGAGTGATGTCCGTGCATGCTGAAGTAGAATCACTGACTTAGATGGCCCTCAGGGTGGCCTTAAAACCAAAACAAGAAAAACACCACTTTTAGACGTTCCCCCAATCCCTAGGTACCACGACGCGCTTCCCCACCCCTCCCCGGCCTCAGGTTCGGGCCTTGGCCCCTGGCAAGGCCGGAGCAGCAGGGCGGTGACAGCGCAGTCCGGCGCGGGCCACGCCCCCACTCCCGGTGGGCGGGGAGGGTGCTTGGGGCGCTGGCGTCCGGTTGCGGTGGGAGGTGGTGCGTGCCGCGTGGGCGCCGGCCCCACGGGGCCCCCTCTCCGCCCTCCCTGCGGGATCCCGGGGCGCGGACTCGCGGGCGCGTCGGGCGGGACAGGGGGAGGGGCGGGACGTGCTCCCGGGCCTGGCGCGAATGGCCTCCGGCCGCTCTCGGCTGCGGGCCATGGCCGCTCCCCGGCGCGTCCCCACACGGTCCCCGCCCCAGTCTGGCCGCAGCCCACCCCGCGCCGCCACTGGGCAGATGGGGGCGGCGGCTCCTGCCTCCCGGCTTTCGGAAGAGCAGAGCGGAGCGCGCCTGACCGAGTCAGGCTTCCGAGTGGGATTGGAACCCGGGGCGCCCTGAAGTTTGGGGAAAGCAGGAGCAGAAGGGAAGGGATGCGCTCCCCGCTCTCCGGCGGCGCGGAATGGGCCTCCTTCCAGCCTCTGCGTAGGCAAGATTTCCCCAGTTGCGCGCTGCACCGGGGACTCCCCAGCCCGTGAGGCAGCCAAGAGGAGAGCGCTCAGTGACCCTCTGGGGGCAGAGCCGTCAGGCCAAGTTCATGGGCAGGAAGACTTTGTGCACGTGGGGGTCTCTGAAGGTTGAGCGCGAGCTCTGCACCCCCACTTCGAGGCACTCAAGAAGCGGAACAGACGCGAGCCCCGCCGGGGGTGCGGGTGAGGGCTGCAGGGAGCCCGCGAACGACAGAAAGTCGCCCCCCGCATTCCACCGGAGCACTCGGGAACACGGCTTCCAGGTGTCCCAGCGGCCGCGCCTCCCCGCCCCCGGCCCTCCCCCGTCGCGGGCAGGTTCAACCGGGAGGCGGCGTGGCCCCGGAGCCGGCCCCAGGCCCGCATCCTCCTCCCACTTCGCCCTGGGCAGCCGCAGCTAAAAGCCGGAGGCTCCAAAGTGGAACTACGTTGTCTTGTCGAGCCTGGGGCGACTCGCCTCGGGGAGGGCGAGCCTGAACTGCAGCCCTGCGCTCCTTCCACGGCCCGAGGAGTTAGTTAAGTCTCCAGAGGGGCCCGGTTCGGCCCGAGCAAGTCCAGGGGCGAACGGCGTCATGGAGCCCATAGGGGCGCGGCTAAGTTTGGAGGCGCCGGGACCAGCGCCCTTCCGAGAGGCCCCGCCGGCCGAGGAGCTGCCCGCCCCGGTGGTCCCCTGTGTGCAGGGTGGCGGCGACGGCGGTGGCGCTTCGGAGACCCCGAGTCCTGACGCTCAGCTAGGGGATAGGCCCCTGTCCCCGAAGGAAGAGGCCGCCCCCCAGGAGCAGGAGGAGCTGCTGGAATGCCGCCGCCGCTGCCGCGCGCGCTCCTTTTCCTTGCCCGCCGACCCCATCTTGCAGGCGGCCAAGTTCCTGCAGCAGCAGCAGCAACAGGCGGTGGCACTGGGCGGCGAGGGGGCGGAGGACGCACAGCTCGGCCCGGGCGGCTGCTGCGCCAAGTGCAAGAAGCGGGTGCAGTTCGCGGACACGCTGGGGCTAAGCCTGGCCAGCGTGAAGCACTTCAGCGAGGCGGAGGAGCCGCAGGTGCCGCCCGCCGTGCTCTCGCGCCTCCGAAGCTTCCCTATGCGTGCCGAGGACCTGGAGCAGCTCGGGGGGCTGCTGGCCGCGGCGGCAGTGGCCGCGCCCCTTTCAGCGCCGCCTTCCCGGCTCCGGCCGCTCTTCCAGCTCCCGGGGCCGAGCGCCGCGGCCGAGCGTCTGCAGCGGCAGCGCGTGTGCCTGGAGCGCGTGCAGTGCTCGACGGCCTCGGGCGCTGAGGTGAAGGGCTCCGGCCGGGTGCTCAGCTGCCCTGGGCCCAGGGCCGTGACCGTGCGCTACACCTTTACCGAGTGGCGCTCCTTCCTGGACGTGCCGGCTGAGCTGCAGCCCGAGCCGCTGGAGCCACAGCAGCCAGAGGCACCGTCTGGGGCCTCCGAGCCAGGGTCCGGGGATGCCAAGAAAGAGCCAGGCGCCGAGTGCTTCCACTTCTCGCTGTGCCTGCCCCCGGGCCTGCAGCCTGAGGACGAAGAGGACGCCGACGAGCGCGGCGTCGCGGTCCACTTCGCTGTCTGCTACCGCTGCGCGCAGGGCGAGTACTGGGACAACAACGCGGGCGCCAACTACACGCTGCGCTACGCGCGCCCTGCGGACGCGCTCTGAGCCTGGAGAGTTTCGAAGAGCCGTGGGGCGGGGTTGATTAGCACGTGGAGCTCGGGCTGCCGCCTCAAGGAACTTGCTGGGACGCTTTGCTGAGCGTGGCGAGTCTGGCGTGAGGGGCGCGTGGAGGGAAAGGAGGGAGACTTTGAACCGTCGACTCGCACCCCCGCAGACAAGTGAGCGAGCTTAGAGAGCCCGGGCAATGCTCCGAAAGCCTCTGACCTCAGTCTTCTCGTCCGTTTGACCTTCCTACAAGGCCTCTAGAATTCCCAGCCTGCGTCAGAATAGGAAGAAACTTCCAAGGCCCGGAGCAGCTGCCTCCAAGAAAAAGGCTCCCAACTCCCGGGCATGGTTCTAAGGCCTTGGGATTGGTTTTTAACTCTAAATATCATATTGTAGCCCTTGCAGTTTGCTGGAGACCCCTAGGGAAAGAACAAAGCGTCCTGCCACGGTGCACCAGAGGAAGGTGCCACGGACTGTGGGTGCACGCGTGGGACCTTTACACCCCAACCTATTTCTCAGAGAAAACCCTTCGGGGCTGGGCCAGGCCACCCTTTTCTTTTGACTGAGATGTGGGTAATGTGTGCCCAGACTTGACGTTGTTTATTGTGCGACATTGTGTACAAATGTCCTTTATAAAAGTAAAGGCCACTCGCACCCCCTTTTACGCTGTACTCTGAATTTTGGCTTTCGTGAGTTTGGGGAGGCATTGGCAGTCGGCCGATCTTTGTCAGCTGATGATGTGCGCACTTTAACAATCCTTAAACAACAGCCTACAAATTCCTCCCCTTCGTTCCTTCCTCTCTACTGCGAAAGGGCCCAAACTTCCCATGTGCTTTAAAATGTTCTGTAGAAAGTGTTCCGTCCCCCTCCGAATTAAGACGTTTGGTGAATTGAAATGCCAGTCCTCGGGCAGGCCCTGGCTGTGATCTGCGAGAGCCGGGCACGCACGCCCCGGCGCCCTTTGTGTAGGCAGAGCACACTGTTAGGAGACTTGCCGGGCCATTAGCAGTCAGAGAAGCTGGGCCCTTTTAGTCGCTGGACTGCCAGCGCAGGGGATGGGGGATGGGAAAGTGGCTTTCTGTTCCTCTCAGAGCCACAGTGGGGAGTGGTGACTTGATGGAAGAGGAGGCATGCCCAGCGAGTCAGTGCTGCGCAGACGCAGATGGCCACCTCTGCAGGCCCGTTGGGTGGGGTATGGACGGCCTTGGTCGCTGTGCTGGCTGTGGATGCCAGGATGATGTGGCCCTCTGTGCATGGGTGGGCAGGAGGGCATCCCGAGTAAGGTCTGTCGCCCCTTGACTCTGCCTCAGTGATTTCCCTTTTTTTAAGTCTTCCCATTTTCCAGCACATGGCGAGTACAGTCAGTCGTTTTAGGGATGGTAGTCTCTAAGGAGGGACAGTTTCACTGTTGCTTGATAGAACAGGGCTGGGCATACGTACATTTGGCCCATGGGCCAAATTTGGCACACAGCTTATTCTTGTAGGGCCTGTGACCTAAGAATAGTTTTTACATTTTTATTTTTAATTTAATTTTCTTATTATTATTTTTCGAGACGGAGTTTCACTCTTGTCGCCCAGGCTGGAGTGCAATGTGCGATCTTGGCTCATTGCAACCTCCGCCTCCCAGGTTCAAGCGATTCTCCTGCCTCAGCCTCCAGAGTAGTTGGGAGTACAGGCATCTGCCACCACACCTGGCTAATTTTTGTATTTTTGGTAGAGACAGGGTTTCACCATGTTGGCCAGGCTAGTCTTGAACTCCTGACCTCAGGTGATCCACCCGCCTTGGCCTCCCAAAGTGCTAGGATTATAGGCGTGAGCCACCTCACCTGGCCTTACATTTTTAAATTGTTGAAAAAAATTCAAAAGAAAGTACTATTTGGTGGCACGTGAGAATTATATAAAATATATATTTCAGTGTTCACAAATCAGGTTTTACTGGAACACAGCCGTGCACACTCATTTCTGTCTTCTCTGTGCTGCTTCCATGCTACCGCAGCAGAGTGGAGTAGACACAGCAGAGACCAGATGGCAAAGTGTAAAATATTTACTATCTGGCCCTTTTACAAAAGGCTGGCCAACCCCTGCTCTAGGGAAGTAGTGTTTTTTAAACACAATATGCTGACAATTATAGTTAATAAAGCATTTAGACTTTAGTGAGCTTTTGCCACTTGAAATAAACCCCCTTTGGGTAAAGGTAAAGCTTTATATGACTCTCAGTAATCTTGTTTAGAATAAACACGAAAATGTGAAAAGTGCGGTTATCATTGTGTCAGGCAGGGGAATCTACCTGTTGCCTTCTTTCACCTAAAAAAATAGTAACACATCAGTGCAACTGAAACATAGCACCCGTTTGAATTGGCTTCAAACTACAAAGCTGCCAGATATTTCTCTGTGCTTCAAAATGTGGCATCTTACACAATGGAAGTATTTAGTTTGAACTTTGGGTTGGAGATATCCCTTTGACTATGGCAGTGTTTCCCAAAGTAAACTGATCATAGGAAAAAAATAATTTATTGACAGCAAGCCATCAGGAGTTAACATATTACAATTTAGACTTTTAAAAATGGTCAATGGTCATATCAATGAACTAATGAATACTTAATTCATATATGCTTATAAAAACTTTGACGAAAAATAAATGATAAAATGAAACAATTTTTCTGTTACTAAATATAAAAGCTATGAAGCCTTCTGATGCATCATCAGGTAATCTTGGTCTGATATACCATTTCTTAAAAGTACATTATTGCATAACCATATTTTTCCGATATATTTATAAATACATTAATTTTTAAGATATTGACAGTATACATATGCTATAACATTGTTTGAAAATGCTTGTTTGTGGGGCAATAAAGCAACATTTTGAATTGTTTTGAATTACTTAAAATTAAATGAGGAGCCCAATATAATGATTCAAACAGAGATCTTTGTGTCTAGTATCCTTTAAAATGGTAACCCATTAAATCTGGACTCAAACAAGAGAAATAGATTTTTAGTGGTATGTACAGAAGACTTTCTATTCTGTCATAACACCATTACTGATTTTCAAAACTATATTTTAAAGTTCAAATGATTCATTTTAAAAGAAACTATTTCATAATATAATGAGCATCCAGTATGGCTGCTAGGAAAGGAAACCTAGTTTTGCTCTCCTCCCAGTCTCAGAGACTAGTGCGTCAAATGTTCATAATTTGGTAAAATATTTTAAACAGCCCAGTATTTCACCAATGTGTGTAGCCTTTCCAAAGCATTAGCACTGGCAATCTTTTGAATGTCCATTTTGTTTTATAAAAGTGCCAACTTCTCATTGTAGACTAATAGCAAACATTATGCAGTGAAATGTAAAGGTAATAAAAATAGGTTTTCTTTGTTTTTGAAAAGTTATTTCAAAGGAAAGGGCAATACGACCAGAGTGAGGAAGTATTTAAGAGTGTATTTCCTGAAAGGAAGACACACACACACACACACACACACACCACACACACACCACAAACAAAATCCCTGCAATGCAGTCAGTGCTTTTTTGCAGCAATATTTGCTTCAACTTGAGTAAGTGAAGGTCATTCTCCTTAAAAATGCAATAACTTTAACACGTTACCTAGCACTAGTGATAAAAACTAAGTTCTCAGCTGAGTTAATGACCCTGTCCTCCACCAGAGAGGGAGTCTAGTTTCTTCCTTATTGGCAAGTGTGTCCATGGATCACTGGGTGAGGGAATGTTGGATGAAATGTGTCCCTATCTAGAGCTTCAGAAACATGGGCTGGGAATGTGGCAGTTTGTATGAAACAATATTCTCCCCGGGAAGCTTCCGGTTTATGAAGCAAGGTGGTCAGCCAGTTCCAAGACTTAACTAGGGAGGGTAGGATCCTGCTCCAGGAAGTGTACGGTGGACTCTGGAAACCCACTGAGCTCTGGAGACACTGGAAGTCTCTGTCCAGGGCAGCAAGAGCCACGGCTCAGGCAGCCTTTCAGGAGCAACTGGGAATGGGGGTAGTTGCTGTTATCCACAAACCTCAGCTGTAGGGGCAGGGGATTTTCTCCTCTCAGGTGTGCGGTGGGCTTTCCATTCTGACCGTCCCCTCATGCAGTGTCCTTTCTTCTGCCTTGACCGAGGGGTGAGGGCTTCCCTGGAATGCTGTGGCTCTTGAGCCTGTCCACAAGGAGGCCGCCCACAGCCTTCCTGCTCAGTTCATTTTAGGAGCATTAGTGTCGGATTCTTCATACGTCATTTCACAGGTTTCCATATTTCAGCTTTCTAGCACAACGGTTTCTATTTTAGTAGGCTAAGATCTTTCATTCCCCTACTCAGTTCTGTGTTTCTTTGGAGCACTGTGGCTTGGAGCCTTGTGGGGCAGAGTGATTGGTGCCATGTGTTCTTTATCAGGAGTGTAAGGAACAGCCCTAGAGAGGAAATGTGATTTCTTTTTTTTTATTAATGGCATCATGGAACTGAATCAAACTTGCATTTTTGGTTCACACAATAGGACCCAGGTTTGTAGATTAAAAGAATATGCTGTGACTTGTGGAAACTCAACTGGCAACACGGATTATTTGCAGTCCAGCGTTTGTCCAGCCAGTCCCCAAGATGCCAGGACCCGATGGACTCCTGGAATCAGGGATGTGCTGCCTGAAGTCACTAAGGCAAGGGGCTGGGAACAGCTGACAATCCGGGCTCATTGCAGTGTCCCGGCCTCCCCTCCTACAGAGTGGTCCTGGCTGTCTTGAGTGTAAGTGGGCAGGTGCTTGGAAACCTGGGACACACTGTTTTTTGCTTCCAGACCACAAAATAGACACCTTCCACCTTGTGAACTGTTGTGTTCCTCTTTGGACTCCCTTTAGCTGATCAGGGAGGTGACATCAGAACGCAGCGGTCACTGATCCTTAAATCCTTCAAGGTCTGATTGTCAGAGTGCTAAATACCGTAACTTCAGGCGCATTCAGATTTCAACTCTTTTGAATCTTTTTGGTAGACATTGCATTTGCTTTTTGTGAAGTTTAGTTCTTTGACTTTGGTTAACTGTGAACAGGAAACTTTTGGAAAGAACAGAGGCACATGTCAGCTAAATGAAGATGTTTGAGATGGCAAAGATCAAGGGCTTCCTTTTAAGATTTGCTGGTGAGATTTTCCTACTGAGTTGGTACTAGAGGAATCAAATAGGTGAGATCAATGGAGTAGTAAAAGGCTATTTAAGTAAGTCATGAGTTCAGAGCAAGTTCAACCAGAAACTCCACATTTATACAAACCACGCATATACATATGCAAACTTTTCTGGTAAGGCAAAGCCATTTTCAAGTGACTTATAAGACATTTAAGGAAATTGGGCTGGTATAATTTCTCCGATTGTAGTTACTCCTCCCATTCCCATCGTTGTCACTGGTCAAGTCCTGTTCTTTGAAACTTGTTACCTGAGGTCATTTCCCACAGAGTCGACAGCATACTAACATAGCTGGAAATAGGAAATTCAGTCTGAAAATCTGGATGAATTAGGAGTGGGGCAGACAGATTTCATGAACTAAGCTTGAAACATTTCATCTTTAAGTTGAAAATTTCATGAACACATCCTGCAGATGGTTTTTCTACAAGTAGCTACTCTTGGGTCAGGTTGAGGAAGCGTCCACTCTGGCAGATGAGAATTTTATGTTCCTGGGAAACTAACAGCCCTTAAAGGGATTGCCTTGCTGTGGTCTGAGGATGTGCAGTTTCAGCTCCTCCCTTGACAGCTTTGGGTAAAGAACCCTTGTCATCAGGAGGTTGTTCTGGTGCAGGTGAGGCAGCATCTTTTTAAACCCTTAGTAGGTGAAAGAGCTCACTATTTCCCAGAAACTTTTTCTTCCCATACGTTTTACATTATTTTTAAAAAATGGCCGGGTGTGGTGGCTCACGCCTGTAATCCCAGCACTTTCGGAGGCTGAGGCAGGCGGATCATGAGGTCAGGAGTTCGAGAACAGCTTGGCCAATATGGTGAAACCCTTTCTCTACTAAAAATATGAAAAAAAAAAAATTAGCTAGGCGTGGTGGTGCACACCTGTAGTCCCAGCTACCAGGGAGGCTGAGGCAGAACAATCCCTTGAACCCGGGAAGCAGAGGTTGCAGTGAGCCGAGATCGTGCCACTGCGCTCTGGCCTGGGCGACAGACAGAGACTCCGTCTCAAAAAAAAATTCAGTCAGTTTATGTTCAGAACCACTGTAAGTAGGTTGAGGCATTCTGTTTGTGTTCCTTTCAGTCTGGTGAAGCAGCAGTCGTGTTTATGTGCACAGACTTCAGGCATTTTTTTAAATTGCATTTTTCAGCCAGCAAACCCAGAGCCCCTGTGACGCTCGGATCACCATTAGGTGCAGAACCTAAGATTAGTAAGTTTCTATTTGCTGCATTAGGATTGTAAAAGCATAGATCCAACTGGGTGTGAAGGTCCCCACGATATCTGTGAATATACTTGGGTATTAAATTGCAGACAAGTGTTAACAATGAAACACACAATATGTTCTTTGGAAATAAAATAACTTAGTACACATTTAGAAAGGTCTGTGAGTCCCCCACCCGCAACCCCTCCCAAAAAACCCCACCTGAACTAGATGTTGCTTTTGTAACCAGAATCCTGAGTTATTTTGGATTGTGCTGTTTACCAAAGTAATTAAAGATGAATTTATGTATTGGTGCAATGAGCCCTGGAAGACTGCTTTTTGTTTGTTTTTTTGTTTTTTGTTTTCTGGCAGAGAAAATGATGCCTTTGAGATGTATTGTAAAAATATTAAGTTCTGAGGCCAGGGGCTGTCCCTGCCTGGCATGACCCATCACTATCTAGAGCATGTGACAGTGGAGGGGGATGGAACGCCTGCCTTGGGGCTCCAAGCCCAGGCTGTGGCTTGTCCTCCCTGGCCTCTGCTGACTCTGGCCTGGGCAGAAGTGCCCGGATGGCTGCTTCAAAGTCAAAGGCAGAGTTTTCTGAGCCTTCACTTTAGACTCTGCCATGTCCAGTTGGTTCAGAAAATCTTACAAAATGAGTCTGGTATACCCAGCTATAATTTGCCACTTTACAAAAAAACTTTTTAAAAGGAGTCTGTACTATCTGGTTAGATTTGTTAGATCCAAGGGTTTCTATAACAATTTGGCCCCATTCTCTGTAGGCACACGCATGAGAGGCAACAGTGGATGCCTGTGGTCCATTAACCATTACGTGCTGGCAGAGGTTTGGGACTGTAGGGCAAGGGAGACCCAATTTCATGTGCAATGGCTTCCTTGTGAGTAATAGTCCATCGACCACCATTGTAATATCACTGAAATGTCCAAGTCATTTCTTCAGGGTCTGAAAATGCAATGTAGCCTCGCCAGGTGTGTGTCTGGAGTCCCTCAGCTTTCTAGGGATGCTGCCTGTGCAGGGTCCTGACTTGCCAGTGGGCCTGATGAGGCCCCCAACCCCGACTAGGTTGGTTCTTGGGACTTGGGCCAAAGTGTCTGACTTAACTGAAACCAGATAGGGCTGAGTGCTCCTTTATCAGCTACACAGCAGTGGCAAGAATGAGCCACTATTGTGGATGGTGTATTTTAATGTGATTATGTGGAATTTTAAACAGTTCCTTCTAGTAATGTGAAAGAAAAAAACCTCATTTACCTCTGTTTTAAGATTTGCTTGAGGCCAGGTGCAGTGGCTCATGCCTGTAACCCCAGCACTTTGGGAGGCTGAGGCAGGAGGTTCATTTGAGGCCAGGAGTTCAAGACAAGCCCGGAGAACAAAGCAAGATCTCATCTCTATAAAAAAATTTTAAAAATTAGCCAGGCCTGATGGCACACACCCGTAGTCCAAGCTACTCAGGAGGCTTAGGTAGGAGGATCGCTTGAGCCAAGGACTTTGAGGCTGCAGTGAACTATGATGGCACCACTGGACTCCAGCCTGGATGATAGAGTGAGATCCTATTTCTTAACAAAAACAAAACAACAAATTAGAAGAAACATTTGCTTGAGCAACGTGCCTGGTGGAATATTAGGGATGACTAACAGATTTCTGTGAATGTGGTTTTGGCAGTGTTTATTTACACTGAGAACTACTGCAGTCCAAGCCCAGCCTTCAGATGTCTTCTTGGTTTTTAAACAGGGTAATTCTATCCTTGTGGCTTGAAAATGTCTGTTCAATTCTGAGGATTTTCTTGTACTTTTTGTTGCTGCATGACTGTATGGTGGTGTTTCTGTATGTATTACACCTACAAATTGTGGAACCAAAGCCCTGATTTGAATACAGAATGTAAGCGATGTAGTACTTTAAAAGGGATCGCTGAAGGGGAAGGGGGATGAAGAGGAGTTGGTTAATGGGTACAAATATACAGTTAGATAGAAGGAATATGTTTAATATGTGGTAGTACTGGAGGGAAAGTATAGTTCACAGTAATTTACTGTGTATTTAAAAGTAGCCAGAAGAGAAAATTTGTAATGTTTTCAACACCAAGATAATCGTTCGAGATGATGGATAGCCCAGTTACCCTGATATGATCATCACACATGTACAGGTATCAAAATAGCACATGTAGCCCCAAATATGTACAACTATTATATATCTATTAAAGATTTAAAATAAAAGTGATCACTATGTCTACGAACATTTTTTGGTGCTCACAATCGGGGAGAGGGTGTGATTCTGGCATCTAGTGGTAGAGCCCCTGGGTGCTGCTAAACAGATCCTCATAATAAAGAATTATTTGACCTAAACCTGTTACAGGAAAAACCTTAGACAAACTAAATTTAACAGAGTTTAACCAAGCAAAGAACTATTCATGAGTCAGGCAGCCTGCGAACTAGAATAGATTCAGAGAGGCTTCCGGTGCAACCAAGTGGTAGAAGAAGATTCATGAACAGAAAAAGCCAAGTGACATACAGAAAATGGAAGTGAGGTACAGAAACAACCGGATTGGTTACAGCTTATTGCCTTATTTAAAGCTGATTTCAACAGTTGGCTGCCTGTGATTGGCTGAAACTCAATGATTGGCACAAATGTAGGTTACAGTCTGTTTACATATCCAGTTAGGTTACAGTTCACTATGTACAGAAAAACCTTTAGGCCACACTTAAAATATGTAAGGAGACAGCTTTAGGATATCCTTAACAAACCTCACTGCTGAGGTTAAAAACCCTGAGTATTGGCTGGGCGTGGTGGCTCACACCTATAATCCCAGCACTTTGGAAGGCCGAGAGGCAGGTGGGTCATTTGAAGTCAGGAGTTCGAAGCCAGCCTGGCCAACATGGTGAAACCTCATCTCTACTAAAAATACAAAAATTAGCCAGGCGTGGTGGCTCACCCCTGCCGTCCCAGCTATTCGGGAGGCTGAGGCAGGAGAATCGCTTAAGCCCAGGAGGTGGAGGTTGCAGTGAGCCGAGATCGCACAACTGCACTACAGCCTGGGTGACAGAGTGAGTCTCCATCTCAAAAAAACAAAAAACAAAAAACAAAACAAAACAAACCCCGAGTATTATGCCAAAGTAGATTTCCTGATTTTGACAATGTACTATGATTACGGAAGACATTTTCATTGTGGAAAGCTGCGTGAAGGGGATATGGGATCTCTGTGTGCTATTTCTGCAATTTCTTGTGAGTTTTAAACCATTTCACAATAAGAGTTACAATAATAAAAACTAAACAAAGAAACTGCCACTAGGTGGGTGCAGTAGCTCATGCCTGTAATCTCAGCACTTTGGGAAACTGAGGTGGGAGGATTGCTTGAGGCCAGGAGTTTGAGACCAGCCAGGACAACATAGTGAGACCCTATATCTACAAAAAATTTAAAAATTAGCTGGTTGTAGTGGCGCACACCTGTAGCCCCAGCTACTTGAGAGGCTGAGGTAGGAGGATTGCTTGAGCCTGGGAGGTAGAGGCCACAGTGAGTTATGATCATTTCACTGCACTCCAGTCTGGTGACAGAGCAAGACTGTTTCAAAAAAACAAACACAAAAATCCAACCCTACCACTGAGAAGTGTATAAAGCATTGGTGAAGAAGTACCCTTAGCTATGGGGGAGGTGGCCTGTGTGGGGATGAGACACTGGCTCTAGGACAGCCAGGCCTGCAGTTGCCACCAGCTCACCCCTGGCTAGCCAAGTGCTTTCAGATAAGACCCTTAAAATAGTGTGAGTGAGTTTTCATGCTTGCAAAATAGGGGCGGTAACTCCTGCCTAATATAGATTGTTGTGAGCACTGAGGGAAGTTAGTTGTGAAGTGCCAAGCAAGCCGTTGGTCTCAACATCTTTCTCTTTTCCCTCTGGCCTCTGCCAGTTTGGTTTTTGCTGATTTTATTCTGAGGATAAACACTGTCTGGCTCCAGCTGAATGTAGGAAGCATAACTGAATCTTCCAGTTGGGAGAACAAATGATAGTAGCCCTGAGTGTGCTAACCAGACAAACTGTTTTTGTTACCTGGGCAGAAAGTATCCATTTGCTTCTTGTCCACATGGTGGGACGCTCTTAGTTTGTTTTCTGTTGCTTATAACAGAATACTTGGAACTGGATAATTTATAAAGAAAGGGAATTCATGTCTTATAGTTATGGAGACTGTGGAGTCCAAGGTGAAGGAGCTGCATGCGGTGAGGGCCTTCTTGCTGGTGGAGACTCTCTGCAGAATTCTGAGGTGACGCAGAGCGTCACATGGTGAGGGGGCCGAGCAGGCTTGCTCAGGTTTCTCTCCCTCTTCTTAGAAAGCCAACAGTCTAATATATCTATATGTTTGAGACAGGGTCTTGTTCTGTCACCCAGGCTGGAGTGCAGTGGCACGATCATGGCTCATGGCAGCCACCAGTCTAATATACCTATATGTTTGAGACAGGGTCTTGTTCTGTCACCCAGGCTGGAGTGCAGTGGCACGATTATGGCTCATGGCAGCTAAAGTGATGGGCTAAAGTGATCCTCCAGCCTCCAGCCCCAGCCTCCTAAGTAGCTGGGACTACAGGCATGAGCCACCGCACCTGGATCATTTTTGTTGATTTTTTGTAGAGATGGCATCTCACTATGTTGTCCAGGCTGGTCTCTAATTCCTGAGCTCAAGGAATCCTCCTGCCTCAGCCTTCTAAAGTGCTGGGATTAGAGGCAAGAGCCACTGTACCCGGCCAATAAATTAATATATTAATGGATTAATCTATTCATGATGGCAGAGCCTGCACGACCCAATCACCTCTTAAAGGCCCATTCTCTCAATACTGCCACTTTGGGATTCAGTTTCAACAGGAGCAATGAAGGGAGACAAATATTCAAACCACCGCAGATGTGTATTAAGCATGCACATTGTTACGACATCATACACATGCTGTACATACACTAATATCACTTACATACACTGCGTTTCCTTACAACAGCCTCTTCAGAGATTATCCACCCGATCTAAAGCAGCTACTCTTGAGGGGCCTCCTGTTTGGTGTCTGTTCTTTTTGTTTGGTGTGTGTTTTTATACAAAAAAAATTCTTTTTAGAGATAGGATCTTGCTATGTTGCCCAGCTTGGCCTTGAACTCCTGGGACAGGCAGAGTCCTCCTGCCTTGGCTTCCTGAGTGGCTGGGACTACAGGGGTGCACCACTGCACCCAGCTTGGACCTTAATTTATACGGACAACTCCACGCCTACATCTACAGATAGTCTCTGCGCTTACACATCCTGCTCCGTTCCGAACCCAGCCAGCTCCACACATGTAAGGAAATGGCATTTTCTTCATTCAGATGGACCCTCAGCCTCCCCAAAGTTGGCACTGTGAGTCTCTGGTAGGGCAGGCCCAGCAGGCACGTGGCTCTGCTCTGCTCGGGAGTGATGTAGGGCCAGGCTGCCTTTGGCTGCAGGCTGCCCACAGCAGAGAGCTGCTTCTCATCCTAGGCTTGGCCCAGAGATCCCCGCTTCACATCAATGCCATTCTCATGAGCAAACCCATTTACACATACCCTCGGAGTGGGCCTGTCCCTATGCAAACCTGTTTGGCAGTATCTCCTGAACCAGAACAACCCCATGATCCGAAATTCCACCTAGGTACAGGAGTGTGTACACACGAGCACCAGGAGACACGCACAAGAATATTGACGGTGGCATTATCTGTCATAGTCAAAAGCTGGAAACAATGCATGCTGCAACAGCCCATCTGAGGCAGGGTGGGCAGAACCGGGTGAGGGAGGTACACGTCCACGCGCCTCATCTTACATCACCCGAGGCACACACCCATCAGTACCATGGCGGGCAGAACCCCTGGTGTTCTCACTTGCCAACTGTGTCTCTCCCTTGCTGAGGGGAATGGCTGCTTTCCACTTGGTTAGGTACTCATAGGATGTGATGCCACTTTCCTGGATGACTTTACTCAATCCTAACTCTCAGATGGGGAGTGGGCTGGAGGAACACCTATTCTTCACATCTGGTTGCCGAGAGGACTTTTCCCATATTTGTGGTCTCTTCCCCTCCACCAACACCCCCAGTGCTGCTCACAGTGACCCGCTTGGTGGGTGACAGCCATTGTCCACACTGACTGGTGGCATAAGCGCATCTCTCAGAGGTTCTGAGGGTGGGTGGGTCACGGCTTTCTTGTCTCTCTTCTTGTACCAGTGGGGGCTACAATCTGGGCAGTGCATCTGCTTTGCAGACTCATGTTTCCCTTGGATTTGAAGGGGTTAGTTGAAGGTATATACTTATATAATTTTTTTTTTTTTAAAGACAGGGTCTCACTCTGTTACCCAGGCTGGAGTGCAGAGGCATGATCTCGGCTCACTGCAACCTCCACCTCCTGGGCTCAAGCGATCTTCCTAGCTCAGCCTCCCGAGTAGCTGGGACCACTATAGCACGTGCCACCACACTCGGCTAATTAAAAAAAAAATCTATTTCTCTATCTATCTATCTATCTATCTATCTATCTATCTATATTTTATAGCGATGAGGCCTCACTATATTGCCCAAGCTGATCTTGAATTACTGTGCTCAAGTGATCCTCCTGCCTTGGCCTCCCAAAGTGCTGGGATAGAACCAATTTTGACTCTAATGTTGTTCCTTGTAGCCTATGTCAATTATCAGGATGACATTCTGTCTCTATGATCTTCATATTTTTTATTTCTTTTGTTTTGAGATGGGGTCTTGCTATGTTGCCCAGGCTGGCCTTGAACTCCTGGCCTCGAGCAATCCTCCCACCTTGGCTTCCTGAGTTGCTGGGATTACAGGTGTGAGTCACCGCACCTGGCACATCACTCCTAGTTTACAGCTGAAGAAATTGACTGTCAGAAAGGTTGAGTCATGTGCCAGGAAGTAAGAGCCTGAGCTTGGATTTGAACCCAGGTCAATCTGACCCAGATCCACTGCTCTGAACCATCTACTCATCAAACAAATACACACACAGAGAAGACAGCGTATCTGCACTTGATCCACAGGAAGGACATTTTGCTTGGGTGCCTCCTCTCCTCCTTGGTCTCTCCTCAGGATGCAGCCCTAGACATTTAGACCTGTCAATGTCTGGACCAGAGGCCAGTGTCCCTCTCTTTACCATCTTGGACCTGTCGTGGCTCTTCTGCAGGACTCAGCAGGACGCGGTCCCCTTCTCAGTAGGGAACTTACCTACTAAAAAATGGGAACTTACCTCTTGCAGGCCTCAATATGGCTCCATATTTCAATAAAACCCAGCATGTGCCAAACTGCAAGTTACAGAAACTGATACAAGCCAGCGTCAGCAAGGAGGGGAGTTGGCTCATGGATGCTGGGTTCTTGCCTGGAATCTAAGGGCCATGGGGCCTCTCCAGGGCCTGGAAGCCAGGACGTATGGAGCCCTGGAACCAGCAGGAACGGTCCCTGCCTCATCTCTGCTCTCTGAGGTTGCATACGTCTCTCCTTCCAGAGCGGATTTCTCTTCTCCCCTGTCTACATGATGGATGGAAGATGACTGCTCTGGACCTCCCAGGCCTGTGTCACTTGAGCTCCAGCAAGAATCCCAGACAGAAACAGCAGCTCTCACTCCTAGTTCTAAGAGAAAGTACTTCGCCTACTTGGGGACAGGTGTCATCCCAGTTCCATCAGCTGTGGTTAGAGGTGGGGGTGGGGTCATGATGCAAAATGGTGGTCAAGAACCCCCAACTCCTGTTGTGAGGGATCAAAAGGGGTTCCTGTGAGCTTGGCTGACACCCCCAATGTCTCTACTGCAACCAGGACTCTGCAAAACACAGGCATACAGCGATGAGTGAGGTGTGGGCCTGTGGACGTGTGTTCCTGTTAAGGGGATGTGCTGTTGCCTCTTATTTCAGTGAGGGGCAGTCCCCCTGCCAGTCTTTCAGGATCAAAGTGCTGGTGTTATCTTTGCTTCGCCCCCATCCTTTATTCTGTGTCTCCATTGCTCATCAAGTCCATCATTTGGAAATGCCTTTTGGATTCATTCTTTCTTCTCCATCTGACCCACACAGACACTGCCCCGTCCTCTGCCAGCCCCTAGTCCCCTTACGTCTCCGTGCCTGCCACAGGGCCCTAGCTGGTCTCCCTACCCTCTCAGTGGCCACTCTGTGTATCTCTCCCTAGCTGCTCCACTGCACATCGCTGCCGTACATCGCTGTTCCCTTGCATAGCAGCTCCCTTCCCCACCACATAACCCCCACACCCCTTATCCTAGCATTTATGGCTCAGGTAGAAGTAGTTCCTCCTTCTGAATATTACTCCCTCCCTCTTCCAGCCCTATTTTATCTGTGCCTCTCCCAGGGAATTTACAGAACTCGTACAGCTATTTACATACATGTCTTAAGGACAACGCAAAACGTTCTGTGATTAAGGGATGAATCCATGTTTGGTCCATTTCTTCATCCCCTAAGGTATCTGGCAGTTTCTAGAAGGAATGACAGAGGAGCTAATAGTTATTGCTTACTGTGTATTAAACCTCGTGAAAGAACTTTGTGTTACGCACTGAAAATCCTTATAGCAACCCTGCAAAGTAGGTATTTGATTAACTCATTTTTATGAATGAGGAAACAGAAATTTGGTGAAGCTACTTGCTCAGGATCTCACCACCAGGAAGTGGCAGGGCTGGAAGATGAAGGAATGAATGACTTTCTAGGATGTCCATACCTGGGGGCTGCATATAGTTGACCTGCTCTTATTTTCTCAACAAGAAGCCTCTATGAACCAGGATTCAGGCAACATCACACAGCCAGCTAGTGGCTGGGCTGGGGTTAGAGTCCCTCGTACATGAAGACATTCACCAGCTCAGACTGTCCCATCCAGTGACTAGTTTCTTTTCACCATCCTCAAAACTACCACCACACCATTTTATCTTTCCCTCTCTCTTTTTTTTCACTCTGTCCCCTAGCCTAGAGTGCAGTGGTGCAATCATGGCTCACTTGACCTCCTGGGCTCAAGTGGTCCTCCTGCCTCAGCCTCCCGATTAGTTGGGACTACAGGCAAAACACGAAAACACTACATCCAACTAATGCTTTCTTTTTTTTTTTTTTTTGGAGAGTTATGTTGCCTAGGCTGGTCTTGAACTCCTGGCCTCAAGCAGTCCTCTTGCTTCGTCCTTCCAAAGTGTTGGGATTAAAGGTGTGAGCCATTGCACCTGGCCTGATTTTTTTTTTAAAGACATGTTTTATATTTTCAGTAGTTTGAGCTATTGAGCTACCCTTTCTCTACTTTGGACAAGCTTCTATTTATACAGAACCACAAGGAAGTGTTGGTTATGTTTTAAGTATGTTAATGTATGCTAAACTTGGCAAATTAATAATTTTAAACACATTACATGCTTGAAATATGAATGGAAGAGTGTCTTTGGCAATTCTTGACAAGACTCTTAGCCTCAGCATTGTAGTCCTTGGTCATACATCCTGTATGTGCTGTGCAAATCACACATGTGCATGTAAATGAAATGCTCCTTTAAGACTAGAACCAATTGTATTGTTATTAAACGGTCTCTGTATTCAAGACTGATGAAGTCACATGAATTCACTAGGTAACTGACAGGAAGTTCTAGTGAAATGTTTCAACAATATTTAACTGACACTCCCAAACAAAGGAAATAAAGTACCTCTCTGGCTGATGGAAGAAAAAGGTTTCTATTTAGTACCATTGGACTAAGAAAGCTTATCACTTTATTAGGAAGAGAAAGCGGACCATTTCTAGGCAGGTATTTTCTTGCAGAAGCAGCCTCTCACTGGAAGTCTTGCATCCCTGTGGAGGTACAGCCAGAATGCCTCATGAACAACACGGGCCACGCTGTGGTCAGCACAGGTGTGGTTAGCCTGAGACCGGCTACTCAGGCTCCAAGTGCAGTTCCAGCTCTATTGGTGTCAGTCATTCTTGTCATCTAATTTCAAGACAGCACGACACTGACTTCGCTTTTACTGCTGTGGTGTCAACGATCCCCCAGGTAAAGAATATAGTCCATTGACCTCTGAGAGTTTTCCTTCTGGGTTCTCTTCAGGGTCTTTGAAGTCAAAACTCTGCCCTTGAGCAAAAGCAGCTGCATCCATCCTATTCCCCAAATGGATATCAACACGAGAAGCCATTTTCATCCATGGTTCCCTGTGGCACTAATTAGAGCTGCAGAAAGATTGAAAAGTGAAGATCGTATTGTTCTCAGAGGTGAGCTGAGCCACCGTCCACATAGACTTTAGGTAAACTCTCCAAGAAAGCCTGCTGAATCGTAAGCCATTGCTTTCTCCATCAAGTTCCAGTTTTTCTCTAGATCATTTTGTAACAACTGGCAAACACAGAAGAAGCGGGGAGGCATCTGTCAACTCGGGGTTGCACATGGCACGGCTCCTGTTGGCTGTTCTTCTGTTCGTAATAATGAATATCCACTCGGGTTCTGCCAGCTTCATCTTTGTGATCTCAGCAAATGTGTACATTCCAGAGATCCAGGAAAGATGGCTGCTTCATGGAGCTTCTGAATCACCCTGGGCTACTGACACACAGCCACTGGCACAGGTTCACAGAGCTAACATTTGATCACGTGGGTTCAGACCCTACTTATCAAGGGACTTCTCATCCACGACTGTGGGCAGGTCCTTGGGGACAGGGAAGCTTTCTCCTTCTGCTTTTTGATCCGTTATCTTTTCTTCAGCTTCTGCTGTTATTTATAGGTTCGCTTCAATATCTGAGATATTTTTTTTTTTTTTTTTTTTTTTGAGACAAGAGTCTCACTCTGTCACCCAGGCTGGAGTTCAGTGGCGTGATCCCGGCTCATTGCAACCTCTGCCTCTGGCTTCAAGCAATTCTCTGCCTCAGTCTCCTGAGTAGCTGGGATTACAGGCGCCCACTGCCACGCCTGGCTAATTTTTTTTGTATCTTTAGGAGAGATGGGGTTTCACCATGTTGGCCAGGCTGGTCTTGAACTCCTGACATCGTGGTCCATCCACCTCGGCTTCCCAAAGTGCTGGGATTACAGGTGTGAGCCACCACACCTGGAGGAGATATTCTTTAATCTAGAAAGCAAATACTAGTTTATATGAAGTACTTAGCAAAAAAAAAAAAAAAAGCTAATTTTCTACAAATGTATATTTTCTGTATACTTGTTGATATTTTACTGTGCTTTTATTTTCAGTCTTAGAAACAGGCAGCCAATATATAGAGCAACCTTCCTCAAACTTTTAATGTTAATCTCATGACCAAAGTAGAGAATCTCCCCCCACCAGCCCTCCTCTTCCAATCGAACTTACACACAAAGAGCTTTGCCTAAAGCAGGAAGTTATTTGCTCTACAGAGTTACGGGTAAAATCTTTATAAGGGTCTTTCGAGTTGTTTTATCCCAGTTATTTTTTTTTTTTTAGACAGGGTATCACTCTGTCATCCAGGCTGGAGTGCAGTGGTGCGATCATGGCTCACTGCAACCTCCGCCTTCCAGGCTCAAGTGATCCTCCCACCTCAGGCTCCAGAGTAGCTAGGACAACAGTTGCATGCCACCACACCCAGCTAATTTTTGTATTTTCTGTATAGACAGGGTTTCACTATGTTGCCCAGGCTGGTCTCGAACTCCTGAGCTCAAGTGATCTGCCCACTTCGGCCTCTCAAAGTGCTGAGATTACCAGGTATGAGCCACCACACCCAACTCCAGTGATTTTTAAAAATTATTAAATGGATAAACAATTTCCTGGGAAGAAAAGAGCTACCCTTTCTCTACTTTGAAGAAAAGATAAATTCATCGAGTCTGGGCTTTCTGTTTGAAGTTGAGGTTGTTCGAAGTCAGCAGTGGGGACAAAATTCCAGACAGTGGCTGCTCCTGTCTGGTCTCAGCCAGAGCCCCTTCTTAGTTCCTCAGGCCCTGCTCCTGAGACTCCTCCTAGACTCCCTGCAGCCCTCAGGCCTGGTCTCCTCATCCAATCAATCACCAAGTTCTGCTGACTCGACTTTTTCTTTTCTTTCTGGTTGGCCAGCCCTTCCATCTGTAGGACACGTGATGACTGTTTCGACTGTTTCTCCAGGACTTGTTCTCTAAAGGGAGTGACCAGTATTCTGAAGATATTTGTGGAAATGTCCCCATACAGGAGACCTGCAGTTTTGGCCGTTTGTCTGCCTACTCTTTGGTTTGCTATGTGGCCCTGAGAAAGTAATACATTAATACATTAATACAGAGATGCTCTCTGTATTAGTTTGCTGTTACTTCATAATAATCTACCTCCAAACTCAGTGACTAATGTAACAGTTAATTATTTAGCACATGTCTGAGGGGTGGCTGAATATGACTGACCTAAGCTAGACCAGGCTAGGGGACTCTGTGGACTTTCTCGCGCATCGGCAGGTGGGCTGGGGAGCTCGGGCTGTGCTCAGCTGGGGCAGCTCTGCTCCAGGTTTCCTGTCCTCCTTCAATGGCGGCCCACCCCAGCCAGTTCTCAGGGTGATGCTGACTCTGCTTCTGTTCAGCTGTTGCCTCTTGGTGAAGTCACCATCGCTTGCCTGGAATGCCACACCCAATCCCCCACTCCTCCGAAAAGCTGGTCTCCCTGCATCTCTCCCAGTGTATCCCCTCAAAAGCAGACAATGTGACCTTTTAAAAAATACAAACTTCGGTCGGGGGCGGTGGCTCACGCCTGTAATCCCAGCACTTTGGGAGGCCGAGGCAGGCGGATCATCTGGGGTCAGGAGTTCAAGAGCAGCCTGGCCAACATGGCGAAATCCTGTGTCTACTAAAAAATATAAAACTTAGCTGGGCATGGTGGCGTGCGCCTGTAGTCCCAGCTACTCAGGAGGCTGAGGCAGGAGAATTGCTTGAACCCGGGAGGCAGAGGTTGTAGTGAGCTGAGATTATGCCACTGCACTCCAGCCTGGGCAACAGAGCGAGACTCTGTCTCAAAAAAACAAAACAAAACAAAACAAAAACCTCATCTTGCCTAAAAACTCCCGAGTTGCTCACCATCCTTAGGCTGAGGCTCCAAGGCCGTCCACGATGTGGAAAGAGCCCTCTTCCTTGGCTGCCACCATCCCAGACTCCCTTTAGTTCTTTGCATGGAACTACCCTCTCCCCCAATTAAGGGCTTTGCATGTGCTGTTCCTCCTGCCTAGAGAGCTCCTCTCCCCACCTTCACACAGCCAATCCTCATCATTAATTTGCACGTGTAAATATCCCCTGGGGAGCCCTTCCCTGGCCCGTCCCATCGGCTCTGGCAGCACTCATATTTCCCTCTTTGTAACATTCATAAGACTTGTCATTTTCTTCTCAGATTTCCCTGCTAGACACAGGCTTTATGAAGGTACGTCTGTCTTGTTCACTGGTTGCTCCCTGGCACCTGGCACCTGGCACTAGGTGGCCTTAGTCAATACTGAGTGAATAAATGAATGAGTGAAAGGGGTTTAGGGGAAAGGCCCTGACTCTGTACGTGATCTGCAGATGTTCAGGCTCTTTGTTTTAACACCTGAAGATTTGAGGGTTGGACTAGGTGAGCTCTGATGTTTGTCATCTTTGTAGGCTTCACCCTCTGCCTGTCCCTTTTGCTCCTGGATGATGGTGGGTTGTATGGTGGGGCTTGAGATTAACGGGAGAGGCTGTGGATGAAGGGAGTTAAAGGTCACTGCTACTTAGTTAGCAGCAGGACGGAGTATACCTAAAGCAATCTAGCCAATTCTTTCAGTTCCAAAATCCAGATTCCAACAGCCATCAGAACAACACAGCCCTGTACTTGGCCGTGCAAGATCTCCCAGCTATTATGTCATGACAGCCAGCCCAGCCCAGAGCTGTCTCTGAAAGTCTAGGATATAGCCTTGCTCGGCCAATGAGTTCTGCCTGGGAAGTTAACTAATGATAGTAGTTCTCATTTGCTCAATATTAGTGCTGCAAAGTGATCTCCAGACCCCAGCCCGGATCCTATCTTCAAAGCAGGCACAAGTTCTAGAGAGTTCTGTGAGGCTGGCCATGATGGATGTTGGAGTTGCCCACATTCCCCTCAGTTGGTGCATAGTCAAGGAGGTGGAATACTTCCCTAGAGAAACACCAGGGGTCACCCCCATGGGAATGCCACTTTATTCGAAGCTCTAGCATCAATATTGGGTCATCTCAGTTGGGGAGTACCCAGTGCCAGGCTCTGCCTGCCAGATATACACCTGAAAGGTGGAGGACCAAGGCCTGTTTGTGGCGTTTCCTGCCACAGAATTCGGATTTGTATCTTTCTGCAGATTCCAAAGGCATAGTTAATTTTACAAAATTAAGTCTGCATTAGCAAGGCTTTGGGCATGTTCAAACCCATTCATGCAGTTTAATGAACACAAAAGCAACCTGCTGTTACAGCCTGCAGCCCACGTTAAGTTTGGGTGGACTGCCTCATTGCGTAAAACCTGGGGGAGTGGGAGAAGTCTCCTCTGGAGCTGTTATCTTGCCGGCAATTTGATGCCTTCAGCACGGAGGTTCAAATCTGGACTTCGGTTCCAAGTAGCAGTTGCTTAAATTAAGTATAAATCAGCAGTGCCGTGCGTTAGTAGCGTGGTTGGATGCATTCACTGCTGAGTGACCACGAACTCCACTGCACTGATGCAAGGTGGAAAACCTGAGCCAGAGCCACACACAGGGCTGGGCTGGGCGGCTCTGCCCCGTGACAGTCAGCTGAAGGGAGTGATTATACTTGCCACATCACCTCCGTTCACTGTCCACCGAACAGCTCTCCCCCAATTAGGGCTTTGCATATGCTCTAACACTGCAGCTCCCAGGCAGGAACTGGTTAGAGGGTAAGAGATCTGGGACTTGCTAAGAGCTTCATTATTTTCACAGATGCTCAGGACTTTATCCTGAAATTGGCAGGGGGTGGTGGTTCATGCCTGTAATACCAGCACTTTGGGGGGCCGAGGAGTTCAAGACCAGCCTGGCCAACATAGTGAAACCCCGTCTCTATTAAAAATACAAAAAATTAGCTGGGCGTGGTGGCAGGCCCCTGTAATCCCAGCTACTCGGGAGGCTGAGGCAGGAGAATGGCTTGAACCCAGGAGGTGGAGGTTGCAGTGAGCCAAGATCGCACCGCTGCACTCCAGCCTGGGTGACAGAGCGAGACTCCATCTCAAAAAAAAAGACTTTATCCTGAAATCAAAAGTTGTACTGCCAAATAGAATGGCTACACGTTACATCTATTTGAACGCATCATTGCAGCAAATCTATGCTCTCTAAAAGCGACTGGAAGACATGAGTTCTCATATGAGGGTGAGAAGAACACGGGCTCAGACAGTGCGTACTCACTCCCATGACCGTCGGAGTTAAAATGAGGGGGTGACAGTGCTGCAGCTATTCCAGGACCGGTGCTATTTATAGGAGCCTGTTCCAAACCTTAACCCACAGATACCAAATCCACTGAGCACTGTATGCAAAGGGAAACAAGAAACCGCTCTGCCAGGTCTGGTCCCTCGTAAACTCCCCAGATGACAAGCAAGTTATTTAATATGTTCTTTCTATGTTTGGAATGAATCTGTTTCCAAGAATAAAAGCATACAAACAATATCTTTATTACCTGTAATATACTTAAAGAGCAGGGGTCCCCAGTTGGTTAAACATTGAAAACAGTGGGAGAGCTTCAGAATAGAGAAAAATGACTGTGCCTCACCCCTCACTTACTGAGTCAGAATCTGCAGAGAGGGAAGTGCTGAGAGATGTCTTTTTAAAAAGCTCTCCAACTCTCCAGGTGCTTCTGTCCACCAGCCAGATTTGGGCACCGGTGCTGCCCAGCATGCCCCAGGCTTCAGGGTATGGGAGTCGCCCTGGGCTTGGGTCAGGCTGGGGCTCTCTCATTCACCAGGTGTGGGGAGGGGCTTGAGCCTGCATTTCCAGCAAATTCCCAGGTGGGGCTGAGGTTGCTGATCTGCAGTGCTCCATCTCTGGGTGTGTACCTACACACCCGTCACCTTTGTTGTACTGGGCTCAGGTATAAGTTGCAGGGTGCACCGTGTATCCCCGTAGCCCTGCCCTACTCCATGCTGCCCCCAGTCTCAAGTGGTGCTTGAACTTGCCTTCACCAAGGCAGTTCTCGTCTCAGAGTTGAACCCTCCCTGAGGGCCCCCAACAGCCCTCTCCAGGCCTTGTATCAGTAGGAAATGAAAATGCATTAATTGGGAGGGGTTTATCTGGGGTCAAAGGCTCAGGGAGATCATTCTTTTTATTGCCAAGGACCAAGAAACAAAGTGTAGAAATGCTATACACAATGGTCATGAGCTACAAGGTAGGAATGGGGTGCAGGGGAGACGTGGTAACACACAGCACTATTCTGAACGAACTCCAGCTCTCCATTCTAACACTTGAACCAAGGAAAGACAGCAGTCCTTTTTCACTAAGCCTGCAACAGAATGCAAATGTGACTTGGTTTATCAGCTCCCACAGGACAGGCAGCGCAAAAGGCTATTGTAAGCTGGTTTTGGGAGCCCCCATCTCAAACAGAGAGTGGATGCTGAAGGTGGTCCCTGGCCGCCACTGGTGGCTGGTCCCCGGCTTGCTAGGTCCTGGGCATGTCTCGATTCTCAATGATCAGCTTGTCAGTTGAATACAGTTGGCCAATGTGGACCTGAAGGCAAAGAAAGGACACAGGTCAGGAACCGTGGCCCTCTAGCCCCTGGGAAAGGCCAGAAGGAACATTTCCTAACATTTCTAATACAAACGTCGGCCATCCCAGGGCTGCTCCCTTCCGGCAACTGCACTGCGGGGCAAAGCCGGCCACTAGAGCACCATCCAACCCCCGTTTCCCTCACTGTGAGAAGTTACAGAGATCCACACACCCATTCCTCCCCTCTGAAACAGCACAGGAGGCTGCAGCCTGGGACTCGGGGCTGTGCTGAGCTGGGTGACGCCTGCCTGCTGGTGGCAGAGCTGTCAGATGTGTGCCCAGTACCTCCTCTCCTAAGAGGGCTTCCTTCCCTTAGAACTGATTCTCGCATAGGGAAGGGGTTTTAGAACAGTGCAGAAATGGGCGCCGTCTATGCTGGGGTAGGAAAAGCGCTGCATTCAGGGCAATGCAGACACCTGTCCGTGGCCCATCCCGGGTGGGGTCGAGGGCAGTTGTCTGAGTGCCTGCACCTCCTGCCTTCTATCTTTCCTGCCCCCTTCTTTTTAAAGTGTCCTTTTTATTAAGTGTCTTAATGCCCAATGTTTCCACTGTCCCAGGTGGATGCTGGAGCCATCCTCTGGGGCTAGAGCAGGTCTTTCCTCTGCAACAAAGGGTCTTGCCACAGTTTTTCTGTAAAGCATTTCCTGAGTGATACATTTTTAAGAACAAGTGGAATGGGTGAAGGAAGGGCTGATCATTAGCAACTCTATCTGGATTTCAGACCAGTTGGTCACTATCTATGGGTAATTCGGGGTGAGTAACTGCTGTTTAAGCAAACAGAGCAGCCAGGGGTCAACATCCTCATGGTTTTCCTCCCCGATCTTAGTGCTCTATTTCGAAGTGAAGGCCCCGGACAGAAGGCGATCATGTCATTACTACAGCATGTGTTAAAGAGCAGTGCTCTGTCACCAAGGACCGCCGCGCCGTCCATCTGAGGTGTCCTGTTTTCCATGCCATTTGCTCGGTCTTCAGTCTGCCCTTGCACAGAGGTATCTTGAAGGTCCGTGGCATGGATAATAACTAAGTGTTGCGGTGCAAGAGAAAGCGAAGGAAGAGGCGAGAGCAGCACGTCATCTAAGAAGAACGAGAAGTAGACAGTGGAGATATGGGGGATGGGGGGATCTTGCAGGTATTTTTAAATGCAAGTGAATGTCCTAATTAAAAACCAAAAGAGGTAGGTAGGAGTTATGGGAAGGGGGTGTAGAGAATGAGTGCTCCTAACAAGTCACAGTGATGAGCTTTGCTACTGTGTCTTCAGTCGTCCTTTCCTCTCATTAATATAGAGAAGACTTTGGACGCAAGTGGATGGGGAGGGTCTGGGGTGCTGCGTTTCTCGCAACCTGCAGGTAATGCTGATGCTGCTGGTCCACGGGCCACACTTTAGGTGGCAAGGTCGGAAATCATCTTGAGGGCTGTGAGGAGCCGCACTGGTTTTCTCAGGGGCTACGGTACAGTCACGATGAATGCAGCACAGGGACTTTCTGGCCTTCCCTTCTGGACAACCTGAAATAGCTGCTGGGTGAGCTGAAGCCATCTATACCCTACTACAGAGAAGGGGAGGATTGGCATTGTCCTCCACCCTGAATAGTACATGGTTTTGTTTTCATATATTAACCTCAACAGATAGATGAACCCACTATCAAATGATATTGAGAAAAGAAAGGCTAGAATACCAATGATCCTTAAAAAAAAGGGAACCATTACTTTTTGGATAATTAAAACTAGGCTAATACAAACAGTTTTGTATAACAGCTGGGATGGTTCAGCTACCTGGGAGCTTGTTCTGTATTTAATTGATCTCAGGGGATTCACCAGGAACCTGTCCTAGAAGTGTCCACAATCGGACATTCACGAGTACTTGACAGAGTTTACCGTCATCTTCTCAAGGCTTTAGTAGCAGGCAGGAGTTATGGGACGGCATAAGAAGAAACCTGTTCAAAAATGCAATGGGCTGGCTTGGGAAGCTGTGAGTTCTCTGTCCCCGTGAGGAGCAGAAAGTGAGGATGGAGAAGGAAGGTATATGCTAGACCAGGGCTGAACCAGATGGATTCCTTCCAACTCTCAGCTTCTGTGATTACAGGCACTGTCCACGGCTCCGGGATCCATCTGGGACGCCTCTAATGACAGCCGCGTGGTCTCTGAATGACCCCGTGTTGATCCACATGTTCTGCTTCTGGCACTCTGGAAGGAAAGGTGGCACCCTGGAAAGGCCCTGGGATGGGTGGGGGCAGGAGGAACAGGACAGCTGGGCTGCAGCTTGGGTGGCTCTGCCACTTGCCATGTGAGACTCTTCACTTCCTCTCGTCTCAGTTCCTTGCCTGTGGGATGAGGTCTGGAAACTTCTAGGTGATCTTTATGGTCCTTTGCAGCTCCAGCAGTCTTTGGGCCCTCAACAAAGCTGGCCAGAGTCAAGAGAAAGATGTGTGAGATCCCCAACCAGTACAGCACCTACATGGCATGGGAGTCCCTAGGGCGCTGGTGGGAACCTGGCCAAGGGACAGTCGTGGCAGACAGGGAGGGGAGAAATGTGTTGCAGTAGCAGGAGGGGTGACTGGCTTCCTGCCCCCTCCGGAAGGGAGGGCGCTCTTCTGTCCACCCGTTCGCTGCCTGCAGCCTGGGCGGCACGCTCGCGAAGCCCGTGCTCCTCTTTGCAGCCACCTGGGCCATCTGTGTGGTCTGTGTGTGGTCCCTATGAGGTCATGTGCTCCAGTTCATGTCTGTCTTCCCTTCTCCACCCCCCTGAGAGCCCCTCAAAGGCAGGACTGGTGAACACTGCTTTCTGTGTCCCTGGGCCTCGCACAGTCCTGGTAGACAACACTGCTCAGCAGATCTGTGATGAGCGAGCGAGCGAAGGAATCTGAGCCCAATGCACTGAGAGCAAATGGCTCTGCCGCGAAGACAGACAGGCAGGCAGGGCTCTTTCCTACAAGTGAAAGGCATACACAGAACACAATGCACAGGTGTTTAAAGACCCAGAAAACCTGAAGGAGCCCTGGAGGAGCAGCTCAAGCCCTGAGTCATTCTGCAGACAAGCAGTGAGCACCTCCTGCTCCAGGCACCTTGTGCGGGTGAGACTTTCAGATGTGATCAATGGCTGCAGAAATCTCTGAGTCAGGAAGGGAAAACTGACAAGAACTGAGATAAATGACCTAGCATCTGGAATGTGCTAGCATGAGGAGGGCACGCAGGACTAGAGGGATCTAGAAGATGTGACTCAGCCTAGGGAGTCAGTGAAGACTTCTCAGAGGAGACAGCCTCAAGGGAGGAAGAGCTCAGAGGCCCAGAGGCTGGAGCTGGGGCAGGGTAAGAAGCCCATGACACGATTGGACGTGGAGACTGCCAGAGACAGAAATGGGCTGAGTGTGGATAGAGAAGGGTGAGGGTGAGGATGGGGGTGGAGAAGGCAGAGAAGAGAGAATAAAAGAGAAGTGGGGTAGGGCCAGAACACAGATGCCATGCTCCACTTGGAGGGAATGGAAAGCTGCTAAAATGTTAAAAATGGAGGACCAACCCACCCAGATCTGTGGTTAAAAAGATCACCTTGTCTTCAGGTCAAGGCGAAGAAGAGGTGGAGAGTTGTGGCGAGGGGACCCAGTTAAGGGGCCAGTAAGAGTGCAGGTGAGGATGGGTGCAGTGGCTTACGCCTATAATTCCAGCACTTCGGGAGGTCGAGACGGGTGGATCACGAGGTCACAAGTCTGAGACCAGCCTGACCAACACGGTGAAACCCTGTCTCTACTAAAAATATATAGGCCATGGTGGCACGCGCCAATAATCCCAGCTACTCAGGAGGCTGAGGCAGAAGAATGGTTTGAACCTGGGAGGTGGAGGTTGCTGAGATCACGCCACTGCACTCCAGCCTGGGTGACAGAGCGAGATTCCGTTATCTAAAAGAAAAAGAGTGCAGGTGAGAGGTGATTCCAGCTTGGAAGGAGGAGTGGCAGAAGTTATAGACGGGCAGCCAGAGGAATACGTGGGTGCTGCCCTGAAGGGGGACCCACCCTTGCAAGTTCAAGACTGCTGCAGGTGGATGCTGTAAGAATCACTGCCCTCAGTTTTTGTTGAAGAATGAAGGCCCAGAAAAATCAATCCATATAGACACAAAGACATGAACCCCAGATCTTCTGATCTCTGTCCAGTGCTTTCTCCAAAATGCTGCTCCTCTACCAGGTCCCAACAATTTCTTCCTTTCTTTTCTCTCTCTCTTTTTTTTTTTTTTAGAGACAGGTTCTCACTATGTTGCCCAGGCTGGTCTTGAACTCCTGGGCTTAAGTGATCCTCCTGCCTCAGCCTCCCAAGTAGCTGGGATTACAGGCATGTGCCGCCATGCCTGGCTAATCAATGATTTCTTCATAATGCGAATTACACATCACTATAACTATGAGCCTACGTTATGAAAATTTGAGATAACCACATGAGATAACTGTGGCCTGCCCAGCATCCATCTCTCCATTTTCCTTATGGGGTCAGTGCACATCTAGAAGTTTACACTCTCCAGACTCCTGTGCAGCTAGAGGTGGCCAATGAGGTGTCAGCTGTCATCATGGCTGGAGCATCTAGGACAGTTCTTTGAAGTGGGCTGCCTCAGACTGGGGGCACTCAAGTGCCTGCCCGCCCTCCAGTTTGTCTCCGTTCTGCCTGGAATATGAACTTGATAGCTGGAACACCAGCAGCCATCTAGCACTGTAAGATAAGTTTGATATGGGAGCTACACGCTAAGACTGGGGGGCAGAAAGGTGGAGACTGAGTGCTTGATGACCATGGAGCCACCATGCCAGCTCTGGACGCCTTATTGCCAGCTTTCTTTTATGTGTGAGAAAAATAAACCTCCATCTTTTAAAAGCTCCTGTTACTTGGGTTTCTTGCTACACACAGCTAAACCAATCCTTACTGACTTGAATGCACAATGAGAATTTTAATGTGAGATCATAGGACTAATGAAACGAAGGCCGGTGCAGAGAAGGGGGTGATCTGTGCCCCGTGGCAAGTGGAAAAAATGTCCCTATCACCTGGGGAGGTGCAATTAACAGGTACCTATTGTAGCTGTTTCCAAAGTTTAAAAAAGCTACACAGGAAATTATAAAGATTCTGTTCTTTCTCTCTTTAAATCAGGGGTGTCCAATCTTTTTGCTTCCCTGGGCCACACTAGAAGAAGAATTGTCTTGGGCCACACATAAAATACACTAACACTAACGAAAGCTGATGAGCTAAAAGGAAAAAAAAAAAATCGCAAAAAAAAAAATCTCATGTTTTAAGTTTACGAATTTGTGTTGGGCCACATTCAAAGCCATCCTGGACTGCACGTGGCCCGCAGGCTGTGGGTTGGACAAGCTTGCTCTAAATATTTAGTTGCATTTGGATATGTGGCTATTAATAGTTTGGTATTTTTGTCTAGTCTGTTAAATCACATATAGATTTAAAACGTGGTGTATATATACACAATATTTACATGTGGGATCATAGCATAACTTGCTTTTTAACTTCATATTATGATGCTTATATCATTAACTGTTCTTTTAAGGAATATTTTCAGTAACTGTATAATACTCCATTGTAAAGATATATCACAATCTATTTAATCACTCCCATATGATGAACATTTAGACTGTTTCCACTTAATGCTAGGATTATCATTCTTATATATAACCTTTTATTAAATCTGATTTTTTCCTTATAAAAGGTTTCTAGAAGTAGAATTGTTGGATAAACAGATATGAATATTTTGATGGTTACTGATGGATCTTGCAAAACTACTTTCCAGAAGGTCTGTTTGTCCGGCTGACGCTCCCTCTGGTGGCCCCTTTGAAGGCTTTGGCGGCACACTTATCATGCCGCAGAACAAACACGCTTCTCCCCATGTAGCTCCCTGTGTGAGCTCTGTGTGCTAAAGGCCGTATTCTCTATGCGGCGGCTAGAACAAGAACACGGGATTCTCCTGTTGTGTGGCCCTCTGCTGCGTTCCTTACCAAAGCCCCCATTACAGCAGTTACCATCATGTCTATTTCACAAAGTCCACCAATCTAGAGGATGAAAATTCTAGGGGAGGGGTGCCCTCCCGTAAGGCATGTAGCTGTGAGGTGGGATCAGCCCCATGGAAAAGACCCCACAGGAAACCCACAGAATAAAGAACTGGGGGGCAATCTGAAGAGCCAAGTTTCAGGAAACTTGAAATCAAAACAAACCAAATTTATAGTCTGCTTTGACAGAAGTTTGAATTAAATTTAAAAAAAACCCATTCCAGTATGACAATTTTATGGCCCTTGGGGGGAAAAGAACTAATGACATCAGGTCTTACAATGTGAATGGTATTAAGAGGATACAGAGATGCGTGTCTGTCTGATACATATACTGCATATATTGGGGCCACCCACATGGTCCCTATACTGAAATGGTAAGTGGGCCTGCCTCAGTTCCCCTACATGAGCATCGGTGACTGAGGGGAGGAGGGAGAAGGGATCATGTTACTTGACTTAGGTGCCTTCAAAGCACAGTTTAGGACAGTGCCAGACACATAGGAAGTGCTCAGAAAGTACCTAACAACTAAAAATATCAGTCCCATACTCCATGGTTCTGAGGGTCTGTGCTCACTGACTCTAAAATCCGGAGAGATGAGTGACTACAGAGTGCTCTGATGGTAAGCCACAAGTGGAAATACAGAACTGATGAAGACAAGTGAATAAAAACAGCGGTAGGACCATTTACTGCAAAAAGAATGTTCACTGACCATTAAGTGAAATCAAATGATTTAAATTTGGCCCAGCAGAGGGTTTAAGGCTAGAATCCGGGGGATTCTATATGGGATTTTCAGAGCCATTACAGAAGAAGAAGGGGAAATACTCAGTTCACACAGGGAGGAAATATTAAAAAGTTATCTCAGTGAGGGGTAAGGAGTTGAGGCAGTAAATGTTTGTGTAACAGTTCTCTTGCATTTATTTGGGCTGTAAAATGTGCCAGCACACAACGGGAGGCTAGCCGGGATTGCTGCCGTGGTGCTAATGGCAGAGAACGATGCTCCAAGCTGCAGGTGTGAGGGTCTGGTCAACGGAAGTAAGGTAGTGCAATTAACACCTTCAAGTTACAGTCCCTCCAGAATCCCAAATTGACTTATACAGCCACATCAGACTATTACTGTGCATAAATTGGTCATTAAAGCTGATCACACTTTTATTCTATTAAGTTTAGGGAGTTGGCATTAGAGTCCATTGGAAAAGTACACAGATTACTCAGCTGCCAGTAGCTGGGGATGACTAGATGGCCCAGAAACACTTAAGAGCTCTGAGACTCATTAGACAAATAACCTGCAGGGGAGGAAGGAGCAGGATATCAGAAAATACAATTGGGCACAATGTTTCAGGTCTTCACCGCTTCCTCTTCTGAAGCAATGCACAGCCATCCCCGCAACACATCTCTATCTGATGGGGGTCCCAGAAGCTGGGCGCAGTTGCCAGGGGAGTGGGTGGGGAAGGTGGGGAACGGATGCAGCCCTGGGCTGGAATCCCTACTCCTGCCTCTGCCACTTCCTGCCTATTTCGCAGAGTTGTTATGGGAATCAAACAAAACACTAGATATGAAGAAAATCTACCATTTTCCCCAGTTCCTTCCCAGGGCCCAAACATATGAAATGTCCTAACGCTACTGGGAGGATTAAACAAGCACAGTGCCAGGCACCTGGCAAGAGCCTGCTAAGCGTTACTTACATGCACAGACTTGTGCTAGGCCTGTCTCTGTCAAGATGCGTATCATGGGCGGGGCGCGGTGGCTCACGCCTGTAATCCCAGCACTTTAAGAGCCCGAGGTGGGTGGATCACGAGGTCAAGAGATTGAGACCATCCTGGCAAACATGGTGAAACGCTGTCTCTACTAAAAATACAAAGATTAGCTGGGTGTGATGGTGTGCGCCTGTAATCGCAGCTACTCGGGAGGCTGAGGCAGGAGAATCGCTTGAACCTGGGAGGCAGAGGTTGCAGTGAGCCGAGATCGCACTCCAGCCTGGTGACAGAGCGAGACTCTGTCTCAAAAAAAAAAAAAAATTGTTCTCCTGGGGATTTGGGACTTAGCTTAAAGGGGCTTTTGTAGCCAGAATATTTCTTGGAAGTCTCGTATTGATCTTCATGTAAATGGTGTACTCTGCTCTATAGCATATTTATGCCTATTTTTGTATACAAATGTTTTCCCTGCCAGATGTGGTAGGGAAACCCACCTTGGTACACAACTGTAGTCCCAGCTACTCAGGAATCTAAGGTGGGAAGGTTGCTTGAGCCCAGGAGTTCGAGGCTGTAGTGCTCTACGATCTCGCCTGTGAATAAATACTGCACTCTAGTCTCAGCAACATAGCAAGACCCAGTCTCTTAACAGTTTTTTTTTCCTCCAAGTTGACAAGTAACCCTGACCCTCCAAAACGACGCACTGTTTTTACCCTGTTGCCTTTGAGTACCTTCTGATACACCCAGTTTCAGAAGCATATTTTTAAGACACTGCACTTTCCTAAGATAGCTACACTTTCATGGGGGCTTTGGAAGGCCAAAAAAACCCCTTAAGTCACCAAAACAATATATATATATATATTTTTGTTTTGTTTTGTTTTGTTTTTTTTTTTGAGACAGAGTCTCACTCTGTCATCCAGGCTGCAGTGCTGTGGTGTGCTCTCAGCTCGCTGCAACCTCCACCTCCTCACCTCCTGTGTTCAAGTGATTCTCATGCCTCAGCTTCTCGAGTAGCTGGGACTGCAGGCATGCACCACCACACCTGGCTAATTTTTGTATTTTTAGTACAGATGGGCTTTCACCATGTTGGCCAGGCCGGTCGCAAACTCCTGACTTCAGGTGATCCGCCTGACTCGGCCTCCTAAAGTGCTAGGATTACAGGCATGAGCCACCATGCCTGGCCAATACATTTTTGATAGTAGAATTTCAGCATATGGTCTCAGATGGCACATGCTAAACTGCCTGCTCCTGCTCACCTGCACTGAGGAAGGTAAGCATGACATCTGTGGCCCTCCTCTGGCTTATGACAAGGCTGGACATCCTTTCACGCCGCCTGCAATTCATGCAGCAATTGTCCCTGGTGAGATCCCAGCATGGAGAGGCACTGCCACAGCCTTGCCACTGTCAAGTCACCAGCGATAAAAGCTTATTTGTCAAATAGACCATTTTTATCATGCTTTTTATATTTCCCAATTCAAAAAAAAAGCACACTGAAATAGGGACACATGAATTTATGTCTGTATTTTTTCAGTCTGTTCTGTATAGCAGCAAGAAGTATTGTGAAACCCAAACTTACGAATATCGACCCCATGGTATTCCTCTAAAAATAGCCCTCAGTCCACATAACCTTTTTTCTTTCTAGAATCCAGCAGGCTTGTTTTTCAAAATGTTTACATATAATAGCATAACACTGCTACTTTTAATTCTGCCACCATTTTATGCAACAGAGGAGTGCCTGAAGGGATCATCCGAACTGGAATACTGAAACTTCAATCTCCAATGAAGTGTGGTAGCTGAGAAAGAAGGCCATGTGAAAGAAGCCAGGGGTGCATCTTTTTGCTTCCCCTCTCCCAGTACACACTCCATCTCCATCCTTCCTGTAAGCCTTGAATGTTAGATATGGGATATTCTTAATGTGGAGGGAGGCAGTGGGGAGTCGGCCTCTTATTTCCTCTGTGTTGTTGCTGGCAGAGTGATGAGCAAGTTCATATCCCTGCCCACTATCCCGTGTCACAGTTAATAATTAATATGTTTCGTCTTTGCTTGTTGGGACAAGAGAGAAACAAGGTGCAAGAGCGTGCACTCTTCATCAGCATGCCCACACGTCCAGTCCACATCCACTGTCCCTGGGTGACTATAGATAGAGCGCTTGTTCATTCTCAGGTGTCTGCCTCAATCATGAACACGCAGTTGTCCTCACTCTTATCCACTTTTGTCAGCATGCTGCACCGGCTTGTTGTCTTTCTGAATGTCTCATGTTCACTTAAAAAAGGCTGGGTGTGGTGTCTCACACCTGTGATCCCACCACTTTGGGAGGCTGAGGCGGGCGGATCACTTGTGGCCAGGAGTTCAACACCCGCCTGACCAATGTGACAAGACCCCGTCGCTACTAAAAATACAAAAAAATTTAGCTGGACGTGGTGGCCCATGCCTGTAATCCCAGCTACTGGGAAGCTGAGGCAGGAGAAATGCTTGAACCTGGGAGGCAGAGGTTGCAGTGAGCCGAGATTGCACAATTGCACTATAGCCTGGGTGGCAGAATGAGACTCTGTCTCCATAACAAAAAAAAAAAAAAAAAAAAAAAAAACAACCACAAAAAAGGCCCACCATGTGATGGTCTCTTTCTGTGGCATCTGTGACATTCCGCATCATCATAGGAAAGGGAATGAAACTATTTTATTTTTTGAGAAAGAGTCTCGCTCTGTCATCCAAGCTGGAGTGCATGATCTCGGCTCACTGCAACCTCTGCCTCCTGGGTTCAAGCGATTCTTCTGCCTCAGCCTCCCGAGTAGCTGGGACTACAGGTGCATGCCACCACGTCTGGCTAATTTTTTTGTATTTTTAGTAGAGATGGGGTTTTGCCATATTGGCCAGGCTGGTCATCATCTCCTGACCTCGGGATCCATCCACCTCGGCCTCCCAAAGTGCTAGGATTATAGGCATGAGGCACGGTGCCTGGCCGGGAATGAAATTATTTGAATGGATCTCAAAGAGCCCAAAGTCGTGGGCAGCTAGCAGTGGTTCTCATCTCACAAGCTTTCTGTTCCCTCTGCAGGAATGAGTCCTTTTTGAATGGGCACACATGTTAAGGCAGAGGTTCCTATTGAGGTCTGTGCACGGGAGCCACAGGGTCTGCTTTGTAGTGTGCCCGGAGTTTGTTCCTTCTGGTGGGTTCGTGGTCTCTCTGACTTCAGGAATGAAGCCACAGACCTTTACCGTGAGTGTTACAACTCTTAAAGGTGGTGTGGACCCAAAAAGTGAGCAGCAGCAAGATTTATTGTGGAGAGCGAAGGAACAAAGTCTCCACAGCGTGGAAGGGGACGCCAGTGGGTTGCTGCTGCTGGCTGGGGGTGGCCAGCTTTTATTCCCTTATTTGTCTCTGCCCATGTCCTGCTGATTGGTCCAGTTTACAGAGTGCTGATTGGTCCATTTTACAGGGTGCTGATTGGTCCATTTTACAGGGTGCTGATTGGTCCATTTTGCGAACCTCTAGCTAGCCTCAGAGCGCTGATTGGTGCATTTTTACAGAGCACTGATTGGTGCATTTTACAAACCTCTAGCTAGCTACAGAGTGCCGATTGGTGCGTTTTTACAGAGCACTGATTGGTGCATTTTACAATCCTCTTGTAAGACAGAAAAGTTCTCCAAGTCCCCACTCGACCCAGGAAGTCCAGCTGGCTTCGCCTCTCAGTAGGACCTAGGTGGCCCAGCCCTACCTGTGGAATTTCTCATCAGGGAGGTAGTTGGGGGGTGGGGGCACGCATGTCATTGCTTCCTTGCTTCTGACTAGCGTCCCTGAATGAGAAGCAGTGCTCATCTAAGGGGATTCAGGCTTAGCACTTATTTTTTGAGTATTACCTGGTTTTCCTTCCCTCCACCCCTGCCCTGCAATGGAGTGCATACTTTTCCAAAAAACAAGCAAAAAACCAGAGTATCTATTTTCCTACCAGGTGTACTTTGGGTACATAGGGCCATGGACTACAAAACCAGGGGACAGAAGTATCTTTGCACCCTACAGTGTTCCTATAGGATGCTATCGCCTGCTACACTGCTAGCTGAAGGCAGGGAATATCTTCCTGTCTTCTATATGTACACCTGTACTTTAGAGGAGCTGGGTTTTATGCGTGATTTCTATCTGCTGGTCTAGACCACTGCTCAGGGTGGGGAAGACAGTTATAAAACAGGAGACGGCTACCTCCCCGACCCCTGATGGTCAGTGCAGAGAAGGCCACATGGGAAGAGTGGATACAAACAGTGCCAGCCACTAGCCAGGAGTCCCCTGGAGCTGGCATTGCAGCATTGCACAACAGAGGATCCCCGAGACAAAAGCATCCAAACAGCACACCACGTTACATGTCAGCACTGCCGCAACTGTCACCAGGCCCTTCTGGGAACTGGGCAGAACTCAGGGCCCAAACATCACGTCAGAGGAAAACCTGGCATTTCCCTGGGATGGCGACAACAGAGCCCAGGCAAACTGCCAGAGGTAATGTCCCATCAGAGGTCACACTCCTGCATTTGGGGAGAGACCAAAGCTCAGCTGCATGTCTGTCCCTGAACTCTGCTTCATGCCACCAAAACCACAGCGGCAAGGCCAGAATCCTGGCCCCTCTACAATTAGCTACAAGGTGATGCAAATGCTGAGGCTGATCCTTCCTGGGATGTGTGCTGGGGAATGAGCAAGTTCTTGATGGTGTGTTCACCACCTGCTCTGGGGGATACATATCTTTGACAAACTTTCTGGGGCAATCAGGCTGCCTGTTGTTATTTTACTCCTCCAGGGACACCTTTTTTCAAAGTCGACTTGAACCAGTTCTGGTTTTAATATTTGCTTTAATCAAATATAACTGAGCAGGCAAGCTCAGCAGAAACCTGCGGGAAAAAGGCACATCCCGAGTCTGCTCACCCATCCCCAGAAGACTTGTTTGCAGAGACTTAAAGATGGACGGCCTCCCTGGTTTTGCCTGTCACCTTCATCCGGTGATGACTGCCAGCACCCTGCTTGGTTGGACGGTACAGAGAATAATCACCCACACTAATCTGATTCTAGAAGTTCCTGACTTTGTGGGCTTCCAGATGGCGGGTAGCATTGAGATGTCACCACTCTGAGAGTTTCACAATTTCCAGAGCAACGAACACAGCAGAACCAGAGTCAAGGGTCCTGCACCAGAAATGCAACACTCAGAACTGGAAAGGGCTTCCAGAGTAGGAACCAGAAGTCATACTTGTTTTTTTCTTTAAATTTAGGCTTGTAAAATGTGCTGATTGCTGGCCTCTTTAAATAAGTGGTCCAGGGGAGTCTGATGCTTTTTGGCATCAAATCGTCAGGAATGAACAACATCCCTTGATGAGATGCAATGAGTGCCCCTTCCCCGTTGGGCTCCCTCCTCTCGCCGACCCAGTGCTTTCCAGAAGTTTCTCTTGGACAGTCCCACATCCACCTGTTCCTGGCTGCATGCCATGGCTGGTGGCAGCTGTCCTACCTCTGCGCTCGTGGGCCAACATCTGGCTCATGCAAGAAATGGTGGTGAATACCAACAGAGACAAACGAGGCAGACATCCCCGTCTGCACGGTTTCCCAGTACATGCTCTCCTTCACGCTCAGCATCCCAGGCATCCTTCCACGTTGGCACGCACAGACCCAACTGTCTCCTCCCAATGGCTGCAGTATGTTCCTCTGCTCACCTCCCTCAGGGAGCTGCTACGCGACATCCACGGACTTGTAAACACGTGGCCAGCAACACCCTCTCAATTTCCCAGGGCTTGGGAGCCTTCCAGGAATGATGTCACAGGCTAACGATATTGGGGTCATCGGTATACCAACATACCCAACTACCTGGGCTCCTTTGTCTCCCCCCACCCAGAAGTCAGGCTGAAGGGAGCCCCAAAATGGTGAGAGGGAAAAACATCGCCTTGAGCCACAGGGCCTGACAGGGCCTCAGCTGGGGCAGTGGGCCCGGTGCTCTGAGAATACTTGACCCTCGCTCAGCACACACGTCCTCATCCCAACCCCAGCCTCGGGAAGGCAGCAGCTCTGTTCCCAGAAGCCCTCAGGAAGAGCTGGTCATGGAGAGTGGAGGTGAGAGAGAACAGAGGGTGGGACATGGGCAGTCAGCAGTGGTGGGACAGGGGGCGGTGAGCAGGGAACAAGCAGTGCCCTGGTTAACGTGACTCACCCCCGAAGACACTGCTCCTAAGCTCTTCTGTAGGACCCCCACATCGCAGGATCTAGGAGACATCTGAGTATACGTATAAGCACTTCTGGGGGAAGGGGACCCTTGGCCGGGGTATAGGACAAAACTGACGTTCAGGCAGCATGCCCTGGCCTTGTGGTCAGAAGTTGAACAACTTCCAGCTGTTCCCACGGCCCCTACTTAATAAACTGCCCTCCTCCCTTTTCCCTCTCCTGGGGTGCCCTGGCTCCCATCTGGCCTGGTAGGCCACTGACATGCTGCTCTAGCGCGACCAGATTCCATTCTGAGGGGCCCATGCCGATGGCCCACGGCAGTTCAGTATTTTGAGTGTCACCTGTAGGGCGAGGACCTCGGAGTAAGAGTTTGGGCTGTCCCTGAAAAGGAAGCCATGGTCTGTGGTGACAGGCCACCATCGAGCCACTCACAGTGTAGTTTTTCTCTAGCATTCTGCAGGGGAGATGCACGCACAGCTGCACAGAACAGCTGTGTGCTGCAAGAGGTGAAGATGACGTGGATGGGAGCCTCAGATGACACTGGGGTCTGGGAGGTGGGGAGCTGGGCCTCCTGTTTTCTGGTGCCAGTCCAACTGTGGTGGCTCTTTGGTAGTCCTCTGCTCTCCCAGGGCCGTGGAGAGGGCGGGCACACGCTCTCTCTTAGCAAGCTCACCTCCCAGGTCCCTGGGGCTGTCTTAGGGCCTGGGGAATTGGCTGGTGGCTCCACAGCCCTAGTGTGGTCCCTGAGGCCCAGTTTACTGAACATACCTTCCAGTTAAACACCTAGAGGGAAAAGAACCCACTTGTAGGGCTCCACATACCGGCCCAGAAGCCTTGGCCTCCACACCAGAACATGTCCACTTTTCTCCTGCTGCTGCCCCCGCTGCTCTGTCTCAGGTGAAATTCCCACCTCAGCCTCCCAAAGTGCTGGGATTATAGGTGTGAACCACTGAGTCCAGCCTTACTTCCTAGTTTTTAGAAAATTTAGAGAAAAGGTTTCTTTCCTAGCAGACACAGGGCTGAGTTCTTATGTCCTTTGCTTCTTTGTTCTTTCTCCTCTTTTCCATTTCCGCCTTTTGCCTATGCCTCCGACTGGCCTAAAGTGTGACTTCAGAAATATTCATCCCTCATGGGTGGATCTCCAAGCGACAATCACCTCTATTCAGGGAGATGGGATTCGACTTCAATCACCATGATGGCAAGCAGGTAGCCATTTAACAAAGGATCAACAGTGGGCGGCAGACTTCATCCTGACAGGGGCGGGCCCTCCAACCAGCAAGTGTCCCTGACCCACCTCCCTGCCCGGCTCCCTTGGCCAGCAGGGCTCAGACTGCAGTGGGTGCCGGCTTTACCGGAGGGCTCTCTGCCTCCCCAGAGATTATGAGTTAGCAGATCTGGGATAAGGCCGCAGACCATGCTCTGGAAAACTGCTCCAGGTATTCACAACTGTGCCCTGTCACCATCCAGCACCAGCCACACTGGGTTGTGAGTATACTTTGTGTGGTTTCGGTGTTTGTCTCTGACATGAGACTGTGAGCCCCCTGAAGTTGGGATGAGCCCATTTCATGTCCCCAGCACCTAGCAGTGCAGGGCTTCCCTCGTCTCCTAGTGAAACTATCCCTAAGAGGCTGGGAAGCCAGTCATCTTCATACAAGAACTGTGAGCATCTTCCTGGCCTTGCTGACGTGGCTGCTGCAGCCACGGTAAGGAGAAGGGGCCTGTGCCCCACCTTGCTGCACCTGCATGGCTGCTGAAGTCATCCCTCTAGAGACACATGCTCATCACATCAACCCATGGCCCAGAAACCTCCAGTGGTTTCTAGGATGGCTCACTCCTACGGAATCCTCATTCCCTGGCTGGGTGCCAGGCCCTCCCCCAGCTCTCCTCCCTCTTCCAATCAACTAGTCCTGGCCTATCACATGCTTTGGTTGCCTCGACATGGAACCTTTGGTCTAGGCAGCCGGGATGGAGCCCATGACCCAGGCTGTGAGCAAACACCCCCATTCACCTGTCAGTTCCTCGAGCACAGTGACCCTGGCCTGTTCCCAGTGCCTCGCGTGGTGCCTCAGCCACTCTGCTGGACGAAGGAATGAATTCCAAGAGAAGGAGTCACCTGTGTAAGGTCTCAGGGCAAGCCCTGGCAGAAGAGGAACAAGAATCCCAGAGTGGTCACCACACATGGAGTTGCCACAAGCCTGCAGCTGAGCCTGGCAGAGGGAGGCACCCCTCCCAGGAGCATTCTTCATGCTGTTTAGGGACAAGACGTTCTAATGTACTCATATGAACTAGGAAACTGAGATATCTGAGGGACTCAGCTCTTTTTAGGCAAAGCAAACCTTGAAGGCTTTGATGATAAGCTCAGTGAGAAAAGCTCTGGGTTTGCACTCTGACCTCTGAATCCCACAAACTCAGCCTGCAGTAAGTGGCTTTCCTTTGGACCCATTTCTGATGTGCGTTTTGGTTCAAACAAGGCGGCTGATCCACTTTTCTCAGCATCAAGACAAAGGGACACTGACTCTGGGTCTAACCCTGAGGACACTGCCCATTGGTGGGACAAGACCTTCCTTCTGGGCAGTTTGCGAAGACATCGCCTTTCACCATGCACATGGTTTATTTCTGAATTAGAGTAATACGTTCCTGTCACTTACCTTTGGGACCCTATTATAGAAAGCTGCAGAGTTTACCACAAAGTTAAGCCCTTTAGATATGAAGATTATTTCCTTTACTTTTTGATAGAAGTATCCTAAGCTCTTCTGATGCAGAACAATGACTCTTCCAGAGCTGTGCAAACACAAGGCTTCCTCTCCCTTGGAAGACAGTGATGAAAAACCTTCACATCCTTGGCCCTTTGCTAGTGACCTGGCCAGAGCCAGGCCACCAGCACCAACTGAGTATAATGCTCAGGGGAATGGAAACAAACCCTTCAAGACCCTGGGGAGATCGGCAGTGTAGTTGCTAGAAATGCTCAGGTATTTGAAGAATGCAGACAGCAGGCAGATAACAGCCCAGAGAAATGCATGAAAAAGCAACTGAAGTACAGTGCAAGAATGATTCTGTACAGCAACTACACCCAAGGGAATGAAAACATACGCCTCAGAAACGTGCACAAAGATGGTCACAGCAACACAATTCACAACCGCCAAGAAGTGAAAACAGCCCAAATACATATTAACTGATGAACAAATAAATAAAATGTGGTATGTTCATACAATGGAATATTATTTAGCCTCAAAAAGGAGTGAAGTTCAGATACATGCTACAAGGATGAACCTTGAAAATATTATGCTAAGTGATAGAAGCCAAACACAAAAGGCCACATATTGTATGATTCCATTTATATGAAATATCCAGAACAGGCCAATACATAGAGACAGAGGGCAGGTTAGTGGCTGGGGATGGGTGGGCAAGTGGGAGGGAGTGTGGAGTGAGTGCGAATGAGTACGGGGTTTCTTTCTGGTGTGCTGAAAATGTTTTAAATTTGATTGTAGTGATGCTGGCACAACTCTGAATATACTAAAAGCCAGTGAATAATATACTTTATTTATTTATTTGAGACAGTCTCACTGTCACCCAGGCTGGAGTGCAGTGGCACGATCTTGGCTCACTGCAACCTCCGCCTTCCGGGTTCAAGCAATTCTCCTGTCTCAACATCCCAAGTAGCTGGGTCCACAGGCACCCGCCACCACACCTGGCTAATTTTTGTATTTTTAGTAGAGATGGGATTTCACCATGTTGGCCAGGCTGGTCTCAAACTTCTGACCTTAAGTGATCTGCCCACGTTGGCCTCCCAAAGTGCTGGAATTACAGGCATGTGCCACCGTGCCTGGCCTCTTTTTGTACTTTTTGTTGAGACAGGGTTTCATCATGTTACCCAGGATGGTCTTGAACTCCTGGGCTCAAGTGATCCACCTGCCTCGGCCTCCCAATGCGCTGCGATTACAGGCATAAGCCACCGTGCCCGGCTGAATAATATACCTTAAATGGGTAAATTTTAAGGTATGTGAATCTCAATAAAGATGTTAAAAAATACAGGTTAAAAAGTCACTAAATATTTCGCAATTACAGCCCCAATACTGTCTAGACTTGTGCTACTCCATTGGACATGTGGCTGTTTAGCACTTGAAATATGGCTGGTCCAAACAGAGATGTTCTATAAAGTATAAAATACAGACTGGGTTTCAAAGACTTAGTAAGAAAAAAAGGAAAATATGTTAATTTTTTTGTATTGCTTAAATGACAATCTTTTAAATATACTGGGTTAAAGAAATTGTTATTAGAATTAATTTTGCCTGTTCTTTTTTGCTTTTTAAAATGTGGCAACTAGACAATTACACATATAGCTTGCATTTATAGCTTACGTGATTTTTCTAATAGACAATGTGATCTGTATCATCCTTTTTTCATTTTTATTTATTTTTAGTGGGTTTTTTAAAACCTGTGATAAAAACAACATTGTTACATTACAATTTACCATTTTTAACCCTTGCTTTTAATTTTGAAATAAATATACATTCACAGGAAGTTGCAAAAAATAGTAGAGAGAGGGTCCCTGTACCCTTCACCCTATTTCCTCCAATGGAGACATCCTGCCGAATTATAGGATAGTATGAAACCCAGAAATTGACATTTACACCATCCTTTACAATTTTTTTGGTGGTAGACAAATCAGCACCTGGACGAGGAAGAGTCTGGGCAGGCAATGGGAGAGGGTGTCTTACAGTTGTTGATTTCTCTATAAAGCAAACTTGGTTCTGCTTGGATTAATAAAAATTAAGTGAAAATCCCAATTTAGGTTTCTTACTGTCTGCAGAGAAATATTTTATAGAAGCTGCCATAGTGAAGAGGACTGCAGTGATGACATTTATATCCTGGAAGCAGGGCACCCATCACCGCTCACACACCCTGCTCCCAGCTGTACACAGGGGTGATATGGAGTTGCAAAATAAGAATGCCCTGTGGCCTCGTAGATACAAATTGCGTCCCTAGCTCACCCCTCACTCAGGAGTAAATGGAACTACTGGGCTTCATAGTGGTGGAGTACATCTCTTTGAAGAAAGTCAAAGTGACAAGGCTGCCTGGCTGACAGATGGCAGATAAAAAGGAGCCACCTTTAACTTCTTCCTCTTCAGGGAAGGAAATCATATCTGGAGATTTCAGTGCCCCTTGAGAGGAAGTGACAGTCACAAATACGTGCATTTGGAGAAGATGCTTCCCTCCTCTTTTCCCTCCTCATAACTATTTTGTGAACATGTCTCTTGAACCCTCTTACTGTTCTTTTGGTTTCCTCTTTGTCCACACTTCGATGTTCCCACAGGACTCTGGATATGAACTACTACATGGGGTATGACCAAGCTCATCAATCTTGCTTTTATTTACATTTTTTTGTGTGAGGCCCCATGTCACCTGCATGACTAGGTGATGCCGCCAGCACCTGGAGGGAGCAGATGCTACCAGCAGAGAAGGGCCTGGGGCTTCTCTTGGGCAGCCAGTGCTTGGGCCTATGCCCTTCAAAGGCTTGACTTTGCCTCTCCAGAGCTTCTGATGTGCTCCTTACATATGCGCTTGCTCAAAAAACTGCTCAATCCCCCAAAGGACTTCTCTCCACGTGTGCACTGTCCCTGAGGGCTTAGAGGCTGCGAGCGGCCACAACCCTGCCTGCACCCCAGCTATGCTTCCAGGCCATCAGTGGCCACTGCACTTGATGGTGTGATCTTCGGACTGCGTCTACCTGCTCCCGCACTCAGCTGGGAATATGGGAAATAGTGGCATTGGGCTCGCGGGCTGCCCTGAGACAACCCAGGTTTCTCCAAAGGATTACCCTGTGTGTTAGCTTCCTAATGCTGCAGTCAAAAATTACCCCCAAACAGGTGGCTTTGAACAACACAAGTTTATTCTCTTACAGTTATGGAGGCCAGAAGTCAAAAATCAGTTTCACTGGGTGAAAGTCAAGGTGTTGTCAGGGCTGGCTTCTTCCCGAGGCTCTGGGGAAAATCTGTTTCCTTGTCTTTTCCAGCTTGTATGGCCTCCTGCGTTGCTTAGCCTGGGGTGCCTGCTTCATCCTCGAAGCAGCCGCTCTGATCTCTGCTTCTGCCACTTTCTCTCTCTGTGCAATCAAACCTCCCTCTGCCTTCCTCTTAGAAGAATAGTTGTGATTACAGTAGGGCCAATGTGGATAACCAAGGCTGATCTCCATCTTAAGGTCCTCATTTGATCATACCTGTGAAGTCCCTTTTGCCATCAAATGTAACATTCACAGGTCTCGGGGATTAGGATGTGGACGCCTTTGGGGGCCATTATTCAGCCTACCAGATCTTCCTTTATGGCTTTGTTGAAAACAATTATTTTTAAAAATGTAATGTATCTTACTGTGGAAAATGTGAAAATGTAGGACCTAGGACCATCCTTACTCCACCAGCCACACTGAAGGGAGGGAGAAGCGAGAGCGCAAAGCAGCCCAACAGGCCAAGTCAGAGAGATTCGTGCTGAGGTGAAGCAGGGGTATGGACGGGTGGGAAGGCAGCTGTGCTGCAGAAGTCTTCATTCAAAGTTGGTAAGTACTTGGAATATGCTTTTCTTACAGATTATGTTCTAAATATGGATTAGATTCCCAGCTCTGGCTACAAAAACTAATTAAATCTGAAATCTTTTTCATTAAGAGGTACTAGAGAGAGGAATTCTGGAACTGTGGAGCCCTGAATAGACTATGCTTCCCCTGTTCCCACCCCAGCGCTGGGGGAGACACTGGTGTGAGTGAGGTCTTGGGCCTGGGCGTGGGCTGCAGGGGGAGTTCATGAGAGCTTTCCTCCTGGTGGACCATGCAGGGCCTGGAGGCCAACGCTGGGATTCTGGGATTAGTGGGCCTGGAGGAGACGTGTGAGCCCTGGGAATCTGGCTGTCACTGCCTCCCAAGTGAGCTTTATCTGCCAAGCAGGGGCTAGAGAGCAAGGCTGTTGCTCCCTGTTCGTCAGGCTGGCATTGCACAGGGGACCTGGGAACAGGGAGACTGGCAGCTGCCGCCACTGCTGCCCCACTGGTCCTCCGGAGCAGGGAGCCACTCACGTTTACCACCTGCAGAACTGTAGGCACATGGGGTGCTGTAACAAGCAGACCTGGGCCCCAGTGAGACGACAAAGAAATATTGCCTAAGGGAATCCAGGAGCCAGACAGAAAAACCTGAAACAAATGGCTGCTTCTAAAACTGCTGAGGAGAGGAAGACAACAAGTGGTACACAGCAAGAGCACTCAGAGACTCGGGAAAAACAACTAGTCAGCAATAAACTTCTTTATGAAATTTATGTCTAGGGAAACAGGTCTTGGTGGGAAAAACTGGTATCCTCTTATACATAATAGTAAAAAATATATGCTTCTAATTATAAACATTGGGCTACAGAAGACAGTCATTAAGGGCACAGAAAAGTAGAATGGAATTTCCAAACTGACAAAAGAGAGATAAACAGGGAATGAATAGTCACTTGATAAAAACCATTAAAAATAAGGAAAAGAGAGAACCAACTAAAATACATAATAACATAAGACAGAATAAAATCAACTCCATCAGCCATAATATGAAATGTGAATGGACTAACTGGGAAAGGTAACAAAACAAGATGAAAACCCTTTAAACAAAAGTGGTAAAGGAAGACTGAAAATCAAGGGATGAGTTAAGATATACCGGGTATATATGCGGGGGAAAATTCTAGTTTATATTAATATTTGACAAGGCAGAATTGAGTCTAAAACCTTCAAACTAAATAATGAGCAACATTTACAGACAGGATGCGGCAGTCATAAAGCTGTAAGCACTAAATAAGACTGTAGCGAAGTATATAAAACCTGAATTATTAGAAATAAAAGGAGAAACTGACAAAGGCAAAATGATGGTGGGGAGCTTTGATATTCCTCTTAAAAAGGTAATCACAGAGAATTTGAATAATACAATGGACAAACTAAATACACACACATGTATCTCAGAGAATACATGAAAAAAATTTGTGTCTGGCTGGGTGCAATGGCTCACGCCTGTAATCCCAGCAGTTTGGGAGGTAAAGGCAGGAGGATCACTTGAGGCCAGGAGTTTGAGACCAACTTGGCCAACATAGCAACACCTCATCTCTTAAAAGAGAAAAAAGAAAATTGTGCCTGCAAAAAAGCTCCCTCCAAAGACAACAAAGAAAACATTGTCTGTAAGCCATTCACAAAAATTCATCAAGGACTAGGCCAAAAGAAAGTCTGAAAAGGCTCAAACCAGTAGATATTTTAATCTCTTCTATGGTAATTGGTCTATTCAAGCTTTCTATTCCTCAGGTTAATTTATTTTTTATTAGATTTTCAAATTAGCTGCCACAGAGCTGTCCATAGCTTTTTGCTGTACCGTATCCTCACTGTGCAATCATTAAGAACGACATTATAGAAGAATATTTAAAGACTTGGAAAATATGTTTTGTGAAAAGAAGCAGCAGGATACAACTCACGATTGAGAGGCAATCATTATATGCCTTGGCTTCATTATTTTATCCCTGACTTACGCCTTTATCTTTAAGCAGTCGTGGATCCCCAGTTGACAGATCAAGACATATCAGCAGATCCTAACTTTTAACTTGGTTTAACCCGAAGCAAGTTTTCATGATCGTACCCAATTCCTTGTTGCTTTCAGGACAGGCCCACAGAAAAGAAAAAGGGCATTTTTGCATCTCATCTCTTAACCTCCCTGCCTCTCAGGGATTAAGTTTGAGGATCACTTGCTTAATACATAAGCAATACATATTTAGGAAAGTGACATTTACTGGGCATGTGCTAAGCTTACATGCTTTACTTAGTTTCTCACCGTTTTTACCCTTGTCCTATGCAATACATAATATTCATATTTCCTTAGGAATGAGTATATGGAACCAGAGAAACTGAGTAACCTGTGTACATCTGCACAATTGGTAAATGAATTATGGAGCTGAGATACTCCTTTCTAGGTCTTCTGACTTCAAAATCTAGCACTTAAAAAAAACAAAAACAAAAACAGAAACTACAACACACCTCCTCTGAAAGAATGTCTTCTATTCTTTCTAATTAACATTTTAAACGAAAATCCCATGCTTTCAAAGAGAAGAGTACCCAGCCTGTGCTACAAAAGGCTGAGAGTGAAAGTGGGAGGTTTGATTTCCAAGTTTAATTTGTAGTTCTGCTCCAGGAGCACATCTCAGCTACAGTTGTTTTCAGAAATGTGAGTTCAGGATATTAACGAGTAATGCTGAGCAAAGAAAATCACAAGCCAACCACCTCTTGGATCACATAAGTGGAACTTACCTTTGTGAAGCACCATGGGGAGCCGTAAACCCCTTGCCCAGTTTCTTTTGAGTTTACTCAGATTTAGCCAGAAAAGGAAGCTGGCTGAAGCAAAAGAGAACTAGAACTCCCATCTCCGTTTAACCTATTTGCAACTCTGCCAAGGCTGCAGAGCCAGCAGCAGCTGTGGCCTATCAGTGCTCATGAGAAGTGAGTCTTGCAAGGAAATGACATTTCCTTCCCAGGGTAGGGAAGCACGCACTGCTGAGATTCTACGGGTATGACGGCAGCACCAGCCACTGCAGGACAAAGATGACTAGAGAAGGTTCGCCCGCCTCCCCAAGGAATCAGGACTGGTTACTTTGTCTCTTTTTGTTACTGTTGTTGTGTTGGGCAGGGTGTGTGTGCTGGGCAGCCTGAGGGCCACTTGTCCCCGTGCTGCCATCTCACGGGTGAGGCTATGGGTGGCACTGTTTTACACATCTATATGGTAGCTAGAAACAGAGGGCTCTTTCCTCTCACATAAAAGCAAAATCAAGATGATCGATCGTTTTCTTCTTAGGTTTTCCTAAATTTTATTTTCTAAAAAAGGAGAGAACATTTTTTGTGACTGTAGGCAGCAGATTCCTGACAGCGTCTGCTGTCTGACAGGAGTGCAAAAGACATAGTTATCCTTTAGAATACAGAAGCAAACTTGCACGGGCTTAAATCTAGCACGCCACCACCACCTGTGAGGAAGGCTCCAAAGACACGATCCTGACCCGTCCAGCCTCTGTCAATGATTCCAAACCTTGCGTGTACACTGGCATCCCTTGGAGGGCTTTAGAATATTCTGATGCTCGGGTCACACTTAAGAGATTATTAATTACTTGGTCTGGGGTGTTTTTATACATCAGAATTATAAAAAATTGTGGTAAAGTTCACATAACATAAAATCATTTAAACCACTTCAAAGTGCGTAATTCAGTGGTATTAAGTACCTTCATAACTGTACAATCATCAACACTATTTAGTTCTGGAAATTTTCATCACCCCCAAAAGGAAACCCCATACTCATTAAGCAGCCCCTCCCTGTTTTCTTATTTTCCCAGCCTCTGGCAACCACTAATCTATGTTCTGTTTCTATGGGTTTCCGTAGACATGCAGATGAAATCATATAATATGTGGCTTTTGTGTCAGGCTTCTTTCATTTACCGCAGTGTTTTCAAGGTTCATCCAGGTTGTAAACACGCATGAGTACTTTGTGACTTCTAAGGATGAATAATATTCCATTGCGTGGAAATACCACATATTGTTGACCCTTTCCTCAGCTGAAGGATATTTGGGTTGTTTCCATCTTTTGGCTATTGAAAATAGTGCTGCTGTGAACATACGAATACAAGACTGTGTCTGAACCTGTTTCCATTCTTTTGGAGTGAAATTGCTGGGTCATATGGTAATTCTATGTTTAACTTATTGAGGAAGTGACAAGCTGCTTTCCACACATGTCAGGATTTTACAAGCTTCCCAGGTGAGTGTAATGTCTGGCCAAGGCTAAGAACCTAGTTGGTTAAGATAGAGCTTTCAGTTTTTATGTAAGATAAGCAAGAAAACCAAGATAAAATCAGCAAAATCCAGACAAAAGAACTGACTTCTTCAGCAAATAAATTATAAGGAAAAAGAAGAGCAAGGAAGAAAAAAAGATACAGATGGGGCCTATAGATTTCTTTTAAAGACAGATTACAGACAGATCACCCAGTTTGAAGATTGGTGATATTTGTGAGACATTAAAATTTAAACACTTTGTATTTGATGATATTAAGGAATTAGCATTATTTTGTTAGTTATGATAACGGTATCATAGCTATGTTTTAAAAAGAATCATCTTTTCAGATATGTACCAAAATAGTTTAATATGAAAACGAATACACAGTTTCTCAAAACAATACGGGAGAGCATGGGTAGGCGTAAGGATGAAAAATACCATCTATTGATATTACAGAGTATCTAACTCTTAAAGATGGGTGATGGATACACAGGACTCATTTGACAATTCTACATACTTTTGTATATTTTCACATTTTTCCATAATAACAGGTTAAACAGCAAAAAGTCTTCGTCATTGCAACTAACAAATTGGGGAAAATGTCATCAAATGTCTATTTAAGAGATCTCATCCCTATTCCTTCTCCTTCCTCTCCCTTGGTAACGGCACTCCTAGGGCTGTGGAGGGTGCGGTTCACTCCTGGGACTGTGGAGGGTGCGGATCACTCCCGGGACTGTGGAGGGTGCGGATCGCTCCCGGGGCTGTGGAGGGTGCGGATCGCTCCCGGGGCTGTGGAGGGTGCGGATCGCTCCCGGGGCTGTGGAGGGTGCGGATCGCTCCCGGGACTGTGGAGGGTGCGGTTCACTCCCGGGACTGTGGAGGGTGCGGATCGCTCCCGGGACTGTGGAGGGTGCGGATCGCTCCCGGGGCTGTGGAGGGTGCGGTTCTCTCCCGGGGCTGTGGAGGGTGCGGTTCACTCCCGGGGCTGTGGAGGGTGCGGTTCACTCCCGGGGCTGTGGAGGGTGCGGTTCACTCCCGGGACTGTGGAGGGTGCGGATCGCTCCTGGGGCTGTGGAGGGTGCGGTTCACTCCCGGGACTGTGGAGGGTGCGGATCGCTCCCGGGACTGTGGAGGGTGCGGATCGCTCCCGGGGCTGTGGAGGGTGCGGTTCTCTCCCGGGGCTGTGGAGGGTGCGGTTCACTCCCGGGGCTGTGGAGGGTGCGGTTCACTCCCGGGACTGTGGAGGGTGCGGATCGCTCCTGGGGCTGTGGAGGGTGCGGTTCACTCCCGGGACTGTGGAGGGTGCGGATCGCTCCTGGGGCTGTGGAGGGTGCGGATCGCTCCAGGTGTGATTTTCATGGGAATGGAACTGGCTCCCTAGGTGGTGTTCATTTCCTCTGGATGCCTCAGGCCTGTCTCCTCCAAAGACGAGAACTTTCTTTTAAGTTTTCCTGCTAAATATACTCAAAAAAGCTTTCTAGCTCTAGACTTTCAAACACACACAATACTGATGTGTATGTGTGTGTGTTAAATACACAAAACACAACATTTATCATTTTATTCATTTTAAGTGTACAGCTCTGTGGCATTAAGTACATTCACATTGTTGTACAACCATCAACAGCATCCTTCTCCAGAATCTTTTCATTTTCCTCCACTGAAACCCTGTAGCCATTAAACACTAACTCTCCATTCTCCCTCCCCTCCAGTCCTTGGCAACCGCAATTCTACTTTCCGTCTGTAGGGGGACTCTAGGGACCGCCGTAAGTGGAATCATACAGCATTTGTTTCTTCTATGGCTTATTTCACTTAGGACAATGTCGTCAAGGTTCACCCTTGCTGTGGCGTGTGGCGGAATTTCCTTCCTCTTTAGGGCTGAGTAACATTCCATTGTACGGCTGTACCACATTTTGTTCATCCAGGCGTCTGTTGAGGGACACTGGGTTGCTGTTGTGAATAATACTGCTCTGAACACTGGTGGGCAAGTATCCTTTTGAGTCCCTGCTTTCAGTTCTCTGGGGTATATACTGAGAAATGGAATCACTAGATCATTTGGTCATTCTATTCAATACTTTTAAAACCAAATCAGTATTCTTCTAAATGATAACTTGTCCCCTTTCCTGCTGCCTTTTTGACTGGGGCTGGGTTGAGGGTGGAGAAGCGGGAAGACACGATAATGTAGTACTTAAGAGCCTGGGGTTTGTCCCAAGACAAACCTGGTTTAAACACCTGCTCTGCCAATCACTGGCTCCGAAACCTTGGGTTTCACCTAACCCTGTAGTCTCAGTTTCCTTACCTACAGAATGGGATAATGTCAATTTTACATAAGTTAGATGGTATTTATAATGTCTTACTACAATGCCTGGCACACAGCTTTCAATTAATGGCTTCTAGTAATCGATTACTTCCATTTCAACAATCCCAGGTGTTGTCAAAGAAGGTGGCATTTACAAATGAGTCCCACAGGTCCTAGCCACAGTCTGTGGTAATGACATGCTAAACCGCCCCAAGGAGCAGCGCCTGTAGGAAGACTGGGTAGACTTCCTTCCTTTCCTGTGGCAGAGGGCTCCGCACAGAAGAAACTCTGGTCTCTTCCTGATGTCTCTTAACAGCTTTATGGAGATATAATTCATACACCATCAAATCTATCCAATTAAAGTGTACAATTCAATGGTTTTTAGTATATTCACAGTTGTGCATCCATTACCACAATCAATTTTAGAGCATTTTCATTACCCCCAAGGAAACACTACTCATTAGTCGCCTTTCAAATGTCCCATCCTCTCTAGCCCCTGGCAACCGCTAACCCACTTTCTGTCTCGATGCATTTGCCTATTTTGGCCATTTCACAGAAACGAAATCACACAATGCGTGACTTTTTGTGTCTGGCTTCTTTCCCGTAGCATAATGTTCTCAAGGGCCATCCGTGTTCTAGCATGTATCAGTACTTGGTTCCGTTTTACCACCAATAATATTTTTATTGTATGGCTATACCACATGTTGCTCATCCATTTATTATCTGATGGCCATCTGGGTTGTTTCCACTTTTTGGCTATTGCTAATAAGGTTTCAATAAATATTTGCATATAAGTCTTTGTGTGGACACGTTTTCATTTCTCTTGAGTATACATGTAGGGGTGGGATTGCTGGATCACACTACCTCTTCTTTTTAAGCCCCAACATAGAATGGTTGCTTCTAGGACCTGTCAAGAGATTCTCAGACAAGCAAAAACCAAGCTCCTGGAGTTGGCCCCACTCCTCCACTTAGTGAGAAGCTTACAAAGGTGTTCAGATTTGTACTCTGTAATCTCACTGCATTGATACTGAACATCTTCTTTGAGCTCAGTTCCTCCTCACAGAGGAACTCTAGTGTCCTTTAAATAATGACTCTGCTACCCGGCTAGTGATATGCCTCTATCTGTATTTAAGATCATTTCCCCTGAATGATGGAGATTTTAATATTCTGCATCTAATGTCCTGTGACTCTATCTGAATAATTAAAACCACCCAGTTGATTGTTGCCCTATTCTCAAAGACAGGATTCCTGCTCTTTTGTAGACATCTCCACTCAGGTCACACACTGGAGTAAGAGTTGACAGGCTTTGTCCTTGCAAGCTGCCTGTGGCCCACCACCCAAATTATCCTCATGTGAATGTATTTTTGAGGGAGGATATGGAGCATTCATCCTGCCATTTTTGCAAACCACAATAGCCAAGTCTTCTCACCCCTTTCCACTGTGTTACTCAGAGGCCTGAGGTGGTGCAGAGTTCACTTTGCCTTTGGTCAAAACGTACTGGGGAAGGTGGTGGCTCCACAAGTTGCAAAGAAAAATACAATGGTGCTGTCTTTCAGCAGGTCAAAAAGGATTCTATAAAGACTAATGGTAGACAAGGGGCACTGAGGAGGATTCATGAAAGTAAATTTCATGATGACAAAAGAAGACATTTCTGCCAAGATTTTATATATAGAAGATATTCAAAGGCCAGGTGTGGTAGTGCACACCTGTAATCCCAGCACTTTGGGAGGCCAAGATGGGCAGACTGCTTGAGCCTAGGAGTTTGAGACCAGCCTGGGCAACATGACAAAACCCTGTCTCTACAAACAATACAGAAACTAACTGGGCATGGTGGCACACGCCTGTAGTCCCAACTACTCGGGAGGCTGAGGTGGGAGGATCACCTGAGGCTGGGGAGGTTGAGGCTGCGGAGAGCCGTAATCATGCCAACTGTACTTCAGCCTGGGCCAACAGAGTGAGACCCTGTCTCCAAAAAAAAAAAAAAAAAAAAAAAAAAAAAAATCGATAGTTTTTCTTACTTAAAGAATTTTTATCAGTAGCCAGTAAGAATAATGACTGTTTTTTTTATGAATGATTTCCAGACTAAGTCACAAGAAAACCTTATATACTATGACATCTGTATATTAAGGAATTCTAACATGCTCCCCACTGAAAACACAAGAAAATATCAAGATGCAATAGAAAACAAACCTGGTGGCAGACAATGACTATGGACTTTATGCCTGGGGGTAAAAAGAGAAAAAAATAAAAGTTAAGAGTAACAGTTAACAGAAAGAAAGAGTTCTTTGGGATTTCAAACAGAAGCAAGTGCTAGAGGTGTTTAAGACAGGTTAAAAGCTAGAAATGAGATTAATCCTTTAGACATAGACATTTTGCTCTTCACAATCAGGTTAATACTTTGAAGTCTTAAAGAAAGTCTTTCGAGCAATCAGAGGACTTCAAAGTGATTGTTGCACATAAGCCTAAGAGAATTTGATCTCAAAAGAAGAGTAATATTGATGTTCGTTGAGTACCTACTATGTTCTAGGCACTTATGCTAGGTACTTTGTAGATGTAATTGAATGTCGTCCTTGTTAACACTCTCTGGAAATAGGTTTTGACATCTCTGCGGTAGGGAGAAGAAGACAGGCCTGGAGAGCATAAGTAGCTTGTTCTGAATGACAATAGCTGGTGAGCGGCAGGGCAAAGCAGGCCTGCCAGCCCAGTGCCTCTGATCTTCCCAGGCACCGCTGCATTTCCACCTCGCTAACTGGAGAAATACCAGCAACTCTGGAAACATGGTGAGCATATCATATCCAGAACTCTGACCAACGAAGGCGCAGGCTTCATTCAAAGTTAGGCAACAGAATATTAAGGTTCATTCATGACACAGGTCACACTGTATTTACAAATACAAACTGGAGTAGGACAATGAGGAGTATCAGATAAAAGTTAATGTTTGGCTCGATTTAAAACAGTAGCACTTGACTGGTTTTCGACACTTTTGCTATGATTGTGTTTAATATTAACAAGATATTGTTAAATTAAGTTTGGCCTAAAGCTGCCTCTTTACATATTTTAAAGGTTTCTGTGTATGCAGTGAACTGTAACCTAACTGGATGTGTACACAGACTATAATCTACTCTTGTGCTGATCACTGAGCTTTGGCTATAGGCAGCCAATTGTTCAAACTGTGCTCAAATAAGGCAAACAACTGAACTGTCGCCAATCTGGCTGTTTTAGCACCTCATTTCCATTTTCCGTACATCACTTTCCTTTTTTTGCCTATAATTTTTCTTCCAGGCTGGGGCGTGGTGGGTCATGCCTGTGACCCCAGCACTTTTTTCTTTTTTTTTTTTGAGACAGGGTCTTGCTCTGTTGCCCAGGCTGGGGGGCAGTGGTGTGATCACGGCTCACTGCAGCTTTGGCCTCCCAGGCTGAAGCGATCCTCCCACGTAAGCCTCCCAAGCAGCTGGGACAAGCACACCACCAATTCCCAGGCTGAGGCAGGTGGATCACTCGTGCCCAGGAGTTCGAGACCAGCCTGGAAAACATGGTGAGACCCTGTCCTCCCCAAAATACAAAAATTAGTGGGGCATGGTGCTGTGCCTGTCCCAGCTACTTGGGAGGCTTAGGTGGGAAGATCACTTAAGCCTGGGAGTCCCAGGCTGCAGTGAGCCGTGATCGCACCACTGCCTCCCAGCCTGGGCAACAGAGCGAGACCCTGTCTCAAAAGAAAAAAAAACCTTTCACCACGTGACTGTGCTGGAACCTCTGTGAGCCTATTCTGGTTCACAGGCTGCCTGATTTGCAAAGTGTTATTTGCTCAGTTAAACTTGGTTAAATTTACTTTGTCTAAGGTTTGTCTTTTAACAATACTTAAAAAAAAATAAAGCTTAACTAAAATTTGAAAAGATTGAAAAAATCTGTTTGGAGGAAGGAACATTTAAACCTGTATAATGAGTATTTCCAAAGTACATAAGGCTGTGGCGTTGAAGGACACCAACACAAAGGTTTAGACAAACTATGATGTGCTCTCTGTACTTTACAAGTAGAAAGTACTTAAGTGCATTACAGGTATGCACAGTGTGTGGCTGAGGATCCCGTTTCTGGAACCTGGAGTTGGGCTCGGGAAAGTCAATTTGTGCTTCAACTTGATCTGCACTTGGGAACATGTAAGGCTTATCATTTCCTAGATTCTTAACCATTCAACAAAAGCATGTTAAAAATGTAACATACATGCTGAAAAATGGTTAAGAAGGTAAACTTTATGTTACGTATATTTTGCCACTATGAAAAATAAAAGAGGTAACACGAACTGAAACCAAAACGTAGACTTTCCTTTTTCCTAGACTGTGAGCAGTACTGCCTTCCTTATGCCACTTCCACCTCCTAAATAACCAACCAAATGGATTTAAAAGCCTTCCAACTTGTTGTTCAGGTGTCCAGTTCTACAAGTATTCAAGCATTGTTTCTCTCTGTAGAAATCAGACCAAGAGCCTCTGTGTGTGATCATGACTACCACTACCTTATGGTTATAATTATTCTGGATGTTCAGCTTTTTAATCTAGTTTTCATGTTTGAAAAACTATACTTTCACAAAAGTTGAGCATTTATCACATTTGTGGAAATAAAAAGAAGATGGCACTGTTGAGGGTACTGGCCCTTCATAGGAATAATGCAGATGGGAGAGATGGGGGTGGTATGTCTCAGGGTCCTCATGCTCACATATTTTCTATTAAGAGGATGAGGTCACAACAGTAAAGTACACTGCCTTAGGTCACAGGACTGTAGCCTGATTTATCAATAACTCGCCCTCTGTCCTTGGCAATCACTCGGCTTCTCTGCGCATCAGTTTTCTCTCTGTAAAGTGGAGAGTAGGCTGATTTCTCAGGTCCCTGCTGCAAAAGCCACTCAAGCTTCTATCATTCCACAGAAAGGAAGAGCCTCTTCAATAGCCTGGGCAGGAACTTGTAAATACAGGATTTCTTCTGCCAACGCACATGTCCACCGTAGCGGAACAGTACTGGTGTGGATGAAGGAACCTCATTATATCAAAACGCATACTAACATCAAACATGACAGCTGGAAAAAGTTTAACTGATAATTTAGTAGACCCTTCATTTTACAGAGCAGGAAAGTAAAATCCCAAAAAGCCAAAGAGCATGACCAGCATCTCAACACTCACGGAGGTCAGAGCTGGAAGGGATTCTAGAGCTTTTGAGGGAGGCTTTTCCAAACTTTTACCCCCCCACCAAACTGAACCGTGACCCTCACTACCACTGAGGAATAGGCATGAGGGTATAAAAAAGGTTAAGAGAAAACGTTAAAGTTTCCAATGACTGGGTTTGGAGCTCAGCCTTTTTGTTTCCCAGAAGAAGAAACTGAGATCCAGAGAGGTTAAGACCAGGTCAAACTACAAACCAGAAGCAGAGCTGACCCACAAACGCACCTATTTACCCAGCACAAACCCATGCCATGATCGCTGAGGGTCTGTGACAGGCTGCCCTGTTTCTGTGCATGTGTCGGGGGGGATGCGGGTACAGGTGATAAGGAAACCGGTGTGGCAGATGGTGTTTTCCAATGATTGTATTACAATGAATGGACCCTCCTCTACTGAGTGAAGGGGTTTGTGTTCTCTCTATGTGAACCTGGACAGGTTCTATAACCTTGACAGTGGAGGTGACGCTGTACAACTCCTGAGGCTATGCCGTAGAGAAAATATGGCTTCTGTGTGGCTCTCTCTGCTGGGACTCTTGCCTTTGGAACCCAGCCGCCATGTTGTGAGGAAGCCCAGGTTACAGTGAGGCCATATGTGCTATGTTCTGGCTGACACCCTGGCCAGACTCCTGGCTCACAACTAGCATCAACCTCCAGACAGCTAAGTAAAAGATGATTCCTGCCCCCAGCTTTCCAATCTTCCAGCTGAGGTTCAATCACTGTGGAGCAACACAAGCCCCCCTCGCCATGCCCTGTCTGAATTCTTGACCTATAGAAGTGGGATGTGGCAATAAATGAAGATTGTTCTTTGAAGCCACTAAGTTTTGGGGGATGACTTACTGTGCAGCAATAACTGATATACAAGGTCCTTAAATCACCAGCCATTGCTAGATTTCTTGATTTTCATTTCTACCATTCAACCATTCCCCACCCCCTTCTACTGTTTACAGGTAAAGGCCATGCACCTTTTCATTTTTTCCCCTTAAAACCTGAAACATGATTTTTTCCCTAATGACTTAGCCCTTGCATTAGGAGATGGTGTAAACTGACAACGCTTTGGGACTCACAGCCATGCCCAGATTTGAAGAGCCCAGGATGCTTTCCCTACGCTGCCTCGTAACTTCAGTTTCTGGAATGCCTTTCCCTAAGGAGAGCGCAGCCATCCCCAGCCATGGACCCTTGGCCTGCTGGCCTCATGCAGATGTCTCCCAGGAGGCCGCATCGCGGGCCGGTCCCCTGTGTTTTCAGTTTTCATCAGCACTCCTATATCCTTGCCCTACTCTGACTCCCCACGTGGCTGCATTCCGGATATGCTCTGTCCAGCCTCTCCGGAAGTTGGGATGCCACATGTATTGGTTCAGAGCTGGTGGGAGATCAGTGATGCCACTTCCTGTTCACAATGCCTCAGGGGTGATCCCGATAAGTGACATCTGTTAGCGCTCTAGGGCCTGTGGCCACATTGAGGAGGCCAAGCCTGCACCACAAGCGGATCTTCTGTGTGAGTCAGCACACCACTGTCATTCAGGGTACGGTGGCCAATCTTACACAGGGGATCAAATATGCCTTCTGGCTCCAGTGACTTATGGCAACCTCTGGGGCACAGTTTCGCCACTGGGGATGGTCTTCAGGCCCATAACTGTGTGAGTCTGTGCTTATACATGGGCAAGTTTTACTGGCAATGTGAATAATTCCTATTTCCTTAGCGTAATATATTGGTGACTGTGATACAGACATCGGGAGGTTGACAGACACAATAACAGGACCTATTATAAAGACAAACCGAGTATTGTGTCCTTGGCCTTGAGATGTGGCTGGCATAGGCCTAAGCTCAGAGGGCCTGATAGTGCACAGAACTGGTTAAAAAAAAGCCAGGAGGAAGAAATCGGCTTTGTCATCTCTCTCCATCTTGTTTTCTCTGTCCTGCCAGAATTTTAAGGAGTGCTAAGGGTCTCTTCTGCAAGCCTCAAAAACACAAGGCAATACAGCTCTGATGGAGGCAAATTTTACAGCAGAAGAACCTGAGTGCCAAAGGCTGCGGGAACAAAAAATACCAGAGCAAGAATTAACAGCATGAGAAAGCATGCGGCCAGCAGATGGCGACAGAGGCCTTTGTGAGCCACTGGCTGCCGGGTTCTCAAGTGCTGGAAGGTGGCTCTTCACAGCTATTGTATAAGTGATTTATGTATTTGGATTCTGCTCAATGTTATATATGCATTACTGAATAAAACATTCACAGTATATCTTCCACCAGCAGCTGAGCTCCAATTCTAAGCTTCTGAGGTCTAATTCCCAAGGCTCAAAGAAGCCCCTGACATCAAATTGCTTTCCTCCCTGAATAGCTGCTTCATACTCCAGAAAAAGAAATGCTTAGAGAGGTGAGAGCGATCTGATCTGATGTGACCACATAGTCAGAATGCTCACCAGCTCTGTGAGGAAGAGCAAACGTCTGTCAGGTGGTTTCCTCAAGGCCAACTTGTGCAGGGCTTCCCCAGGCTCCGGCTGCTGTTCCCCGACTTCCTCCTGGCGGCTGTGCCTTGCTCAGCTACCTGCACTGAGATACAGGCAAGTCTTGGGTGAGGGCTAGCCTCAGTTTGGACAAGAAAAAGAAGTGGCTTACGTGTAAGAAATATGTCAGGTGAGGCCGGGTGCGGTGGCTGAAGCCTGTAATTCCAGCACTTTGGGAGGCTGAGGCGGGCAGATCACAAGCTCAGGAGATCGAGACCATCCTGGCTAACATGGTGAATCCCCGTCTCTACTAAAAACACAAAAAATTAGCCGGGCATGGCGGTGGGCGCCCGCAGTCCCAGCTACTTGGGAGGCTGAGGCAGGAGAATGGCGTGAACCTGGGAGGTGAGCCGAGATCACGCCACTGCACTCCAGCCTGGGCGACACAGCGAGACTCCGTCTCAAAAAAAAAAAAAAAAAAAAAAAAAAAAAAAGAAATACGTCAGGTGAATTTTCCAAACCGGGTATTTAATCAGTTAGCTACCCATGGCCCCAGGAGCTGGGAAATCACTTTGTTCCTGCCTGGGAGCAGGAGCTGCATGTGTCTGGGAGCTGCAGTGCGGCGCTCACTCCCGGGCTGCCCGGCCTTCCCTGCAAACCTCCGTAATCCCTTCCCGCAGGTGTTTCTGCGAGGCCACGCTGGGTGACCTCTGAGGTCTCCTTTAGGTCTGTGCTGAGACGCTTTGACGCGACATGGGAAGCAGGCGCAGGCCACAGAGTTTCTAGCAATGAGCCCAAAGTGAGAGTCAGTGTGATGGGGTGGCTCCCGGAGAAGGACACACTCTTCCCTGGGAACATATTTGAGAGGTAAAAGGGCAGGCCCCATCTCCAGGCCTGGCGCTGGAAGAGAATTCCACAGAAAGCAGAGAACAACGGGCACATCCCTGTGGAAAACACCAACCTGGCATTTCACACACACAATCCATGTGTTGGCATTCCGTCTTTAGTCACTGACAGGTCATATGAGTTGGAATCTGAGGCAAGCTTCTCCTGCCCCTTTCTCCCATTTGCTCCCCACACCTGGTTTCTCATTTAGAACAAAGGAGAGAAAGTGCAGTTTCGGTGAGTGGAGGAGCCGGCAGCATCTCCAGGCATTTCCATGTGGGGGGCACGCGCCTGTGTAAGTGCCTTATCGCCCTCACGCTGCAAACAGTGCTGCGAAGTCGGCACCAGTATTGTTCTCATTTTGCAGGAGAGGAAACTGAGGTTCATAAAGATTAATAAAACATGTGCTTAATTTCCCTTGGTGACTCCGGAGTCAACGCTCTTCATCACTATGACGGCGAGGGCGAGGCTGCGGAATTTCTCTGCCACACCTAAGGCCCTCTACCCACCAAGTAATAAAAAAGCTTCATCAGAAGGGAAAGCAATAGGACCCCAGCCTTATGAGGAAAAAACATCACAGCAGAGAAGGCTGCCAGGGAGGAGAAAAGAAAAATCATTTCCTATTTTCGATCCTCATGCCTATTAATATGAAATGGTAGAAAACATCAGAAAGGTCACCAATATGTCTTTAATATACGCCCACTTCACGTGGTCTTATTTACACCCACGGCTTCACCACCAATGCTCTAGTAATATTGACTGCTAGAGGTGGGCTCCTAACTCAAGCCCGCAAACCAGCATATTCAGCCTTTAAATCCCCTCTAGAGTTCCTGCATTCCATTCCATTCCACTCCATTCCCCTTGGCTCTCTCTTCCCTCAGCCGTCAAATGATCTCTTGCTTGGATTAGGTTTCTGCCTGGACACTATGCCTCTACGATCAACTCTGCAATTAATTTTTCTCATGATTGCAATTCCTCTAGCATATATATACATTCAATGAGATCGCTTCATTGCTCCAAATATTCGAATGCCACCTCATGGCACATGGTGCTTCTGGCACTGGATTCAGACCTGCCTGCCTCAGCACGGGCTGTGTCTCATCCACCACACATCACAAGCCTGTGAGTTCAGGGGCAGTTTAGTAGCATGTTTCCCGTATTCAGTCCTAGCAAATGAATTCCTGAGAACTAAATGAATCGTGCAAGGTGCTGAGGGGTCCCTTATTGATGCCCTGTCCCTAAGGAGACTAGACTTGACTCAGAGTAAAGAATGGGCCTGTGCCAGGTCTGTGCTTCCATCTTGCTCGCATGTTATCTTCTGAGGGGGTATTGTTACCTTCATTTTTTTTATTGGTGAAAAAACAGAAATGCCGAGAAGTTAGATAGTATTATACTTTTGTGCAGTCCATAGAGCTGGAAAAGGGAGAGCCAGGATTTATACCCCCAGGCAGGACCTGGAATGCTTGTGAAACGCAGGCCCCACTCAGTGGCCCACTCCACAGCTACCCTCCTTCCTTCTCAACACAGCCCCAATTTCCCCCTGAAGCGGGCCTCTTCCCAGCACAGCCCCCAGGCATCAATCTTGCTTGACGTTAGGCAGTTGTGGTGGGGCCCAGCTACCTGTCCAGTGAACAGCTTAGGAATAATTGCATACCACAACTCTGGCCAAAGTGGCTAGAGGAGGGGGTTCCTGGGCCTTCTGCAAAAGGGTTCTTTCCTCTCAAAAGAAGACAAGACTCAGGGGCTTTTCTATTTTTACTGTTGGACACTGCTAAGCTGGAGCCAGGAGGCCGGTCTGTGGGCAGACACACTGTTACATGAAATAATTCCAATACATTCTCACATCAGGGATTTAGAGGGAAAGTGAGAGACCATCAAAGATGGCCATTTTAGGTCAATTTACAGAAAAGCAGAAGAGCATGTGAGAGCTCAGCACTGAGATGGATGGAATGATTTCCCCATCATCTATCCCCCAGAGGCAGGGGCTTTTCCTAGTTGGCAGTCAAACCCCAGTGGCCTGCTGGAAGCCATTGGTACCAGGCCATTGGTATTACTTGAGTAGAACTGGGATTTATGTTTTCATGATGATCCTAATTGGGTCACAGGTAAGCTTTGCTGTGATGTTTGTGTTTGAGTCCACAAAAAAATTTTACAGTAATTTAAACCTGTATTTATGTTTGATACGAGCTCATTTTGTTACCTTAACAAAACAAGGGTGTGCTGGGATTTTGTTTTCTTTAAGCAGTTTAATGACTCCAGGAAGTAAACGTGTGTAGTTATGGTCTAGCTAAAGTCACTGATGTCATATTTTAACCTGGATTTTGGGTTAAATAATGGATAACGTACCTAATTAGGCTACCAGTAAACAATCACTGCAGGATTTCACCTAAAATGCCAGTGACCAGAAGTAGATGGTGTCCTCTTTCTCTGAAAACTGGGGATCAATGTGAGGTTACAGTTGAAACTATGGGTTATCAATGTCCACAGAATATACTGGCCCTAGGTAAGTAGAAAAAGTCCTTGAATTTGCTTAACCAAACTTTACATATGCTCATGTGACTACCTGTTTTATACATGGATTCCTTTTCATCTTTGAAGGAAGACAGGAAACAGGGATACTAAAATTCACATTCAGAAAATATTTCCATGTAGAGACGTCCATCTCCCCTCGGTTCTCTCCCTACTGCCTAAACATGCTTTGTTAGCAGGCCAAGTCAGACGTGGTCCACGGCAGGGTGAATTAGGCCCTTCTGTCTCATCGCTCCTTCCTTTTTAATATTCCCGAGGAAGTAACAGTATGGTACTTATTAAGCCAAATTTTCCTGGAAGCTCCAGGTCTCATTGATAGCCACGCTGATGAGAGATTACTGTCCGACTTTCCTTTTGTAAATTAGTGGGCAACTGGTTCTCTCCACATGGAGCGGGAAAACAATCTCTGTCTTCTTTCAGTTCCAGAACACACCAAGCTCGTTAGCACTCCCCAGGCCACCTGCCCTCCCCCACTCTCCCTTCACGTCACCTTACTCATCACCAGGTCCCAGATGAAAGAGCTCTTGCTCACAGAAGACATCCGTGACTGGTGTCCCGGCCACCCTCCCAGCCCGCCCTTTTGAACAGCACGTCTTACAGCTGGTTGTGTTTTACTCACCCGCATGCTCGTTTGTTGAACATTGGCTCCCAGACCGTTTGAGGCACTGAGGAGAGGATGACGCAGACTTGGTCCCCACCCTCAGCAGTGGGTACCGAGTCTCCATCATCCACTACCCAGTGCCTCAATATTCACTGAAACGTAAAAGCAGGAAGGAGAAGCAAAGACCTTTATGAGCCTCAAGGCTATGTGACACCCACAGATCAGCAGGGTATGCAGGACTTCCCGTGCTGTGTGGGGAGAGTTAGAATTCTGAATCGTAATCCTGAGCTGGGCTGAGGGGGCAGAGTTAGAACTCTGTATCGTAATCCTGAGCTGGGCTGGGTATACGCCTTGAACAAGTCATGGTGCCTTCTAAATAGTCTCAAGTGCAAAACATGGATGAGAAAATGAGAAAAGTTATAGAAAGTATTTTTTAATGAAAGAATTCATATTAGGTGACAGGTAATGACCTTTACACACACACACCTCTCTCTCTCTCTCTCTCTCTGCTTATAGTGACTGAGAAATCAGCTCTCCCATAACTTTACCAACAATAATTCTTGAAGATGAGAGCCTCTTGTCTGAAATCATTTTCCATTTATAGTTATATGAAAGATATAATGGAATAACTGCTAATTAAATCTATAAATATACATATAAAAATTACCTTGTCATTTGTAGCGCGCTTCCAAGTATAAAATTAAACGTGGTTCTGAATTTTTCCCCTAGAACTCTAAGTTTTCATTTCTTAATCGTCTAGAATAGCTCCTTTAATAAAATTTCATTTTTGACATGATGCTTGCTTGATATTTTAAAACTGTACTTTAAACCTGAAATTTCACATTAATTATTATATTTTTAGGATTGGAAAATGACACCATCTTTCAGATAAATGATTGGATGAGTAATATTTAGCCAATTTCGCTTTCTGTTGCAGGTACAGTTCTGAGTGTTCATTAATATTCAATGAAATTTCCATCAGTATGTATGATATTTTCAGGTTTTCAAAAATAAGTGAAATAGGCACTAATGTGGTGATAACACTAAAATGAGGGCCTGAAAGAAGCCCCGACACGTGGGAAAAGCCTGCTAACAAAGACGCACTGCAACAGAAAGACCTCACAGGAGAGGCCCTTCAACCCAGGATCGGTATTTTATGGCATCAGCTCATTAATTCCTCCAGGTCCCCAGGACACAGATATCAAGGATGGTGTCAGGCTCATTATCTCAGACACTGAAACTGAGGCTAGGGAGATTTTCAGTGGTTAACCAAGGTCAGATAGCATGTCGTAAAGCTGGGATTCAAACCTCTTTACATGTCTGCTTTCAAAGTCGTAGCTCAAACCACTGATCCTTATTGCTTCTCCAGAGAGATATTCTCCAAAATACTCTAGAATTAGGGGAAGCATTAATCTGAAAATCTTGGTATGTCTTCTGGGGGTGGGGGTGGGAAGAGGAACCCTGAAGTCCCTGACTACTGTGGAGATGAGGATATCAGAGGGCTTCTTATAAAGTTCTCATTGGAATAATAAAACTATGAGGTAATAGAAAATCTGGACCAAATTATATATACATTATTTAGATACGTAAACATCAGATACACAATTCCACTTAAAAGCATGCCTGTCCACACATGGACACACATATGCACAACAGGCAGGTGCAAGCCATTCCCAGAACATGTCGTCTTACTAGTTCATCATGGTACTACGTTTGTTACACCTCTGAATGATTTCCTACGAGCAAAACATCCATCACTTTAAAATAATGTTAAGACACTCTAGGATAAATGTAACAAAGGGCAAACGTCAAATGTTAAATCTTTATGCACAGAAGCAGATGAACACAGCAGCATGCCTCTGGCATCCCCAAGTCCTCGCTGACATTCAGACAGCCACCCTTGTTTCAGGCTACAGTAAAGCAGGGTATTAAGAGGCAGTAATGCACCGCAGCCCATCTGTCCCATAAAAGCTCAATACGTAAGCTTTGTAGAAGGCAGGTGATCAGTAACAGTGGTGAACCAGGTGTACATTATTTTAATCAACTACATTCTGGACCTTTATTCTCAAAGTTTCTAATGGCAAACGAATAAACAGAGAAACCAACCATATCTGCCCTCCTTGCAATTTTTTCTTCTTTTGGATTCTGATTTTCCCCTATTGTTGCACCTCCTTTCCTTCTCTGTTTAACCAAGGCTGGGGACCTTAGGCCATCAGACCTGGGTTCAAGTCCCAGCTTGGCCATGTATTAGTTCTGTGACCATGGATACCCTGGTTTCAGGTACTTTCTATGCAAATGGGATATAATAATGACACCTCATAGGGAGGTGAGGTCTGAGGTATGCAAAATCCTGAGCACAGTGCCTAGTACACAGTAGGCCCTCACTAATTGTTAGCTATTAACATAATTATTCTTTCTTTGTGGTCTCTCCTTTGGCCACCTTGAAAAGCATCTGAGATAGCAAATGTGCACATGTTCTGTGAGCAGCAGAGTGTCATGCATTTACTAATTCTCAATCGAGCCTCCAGCTCTCCCCTGCAAGCGTGTAACCGCTGCATGCTCAGGCTCTGACTACTATCTTGAGTTGTAGAACTACAGCTGAACCAATCTCTTGCAGCTTAGAGTCACTAAAATCAGAGTCCTCAATGTGTTTCTAAGGTTGGCTCCTGTTCCTGAGTTTGAGTTTGCTATTTCTGATGACACAGCCTTTATGAGAATGGTATAGCATTCTCTTCCATGTCTTCTTTTCTCCCTTCCTGACTTTTAATCTTCAATTCAAGCCCCTATCAGCTTATTTAATCAGTGTCTACACTAGTACTCTCATGGCATGGCTAGAAGTGACCTTTACTTATTTAACCTCTTACTCCAAATCTTCAGGGGCTCCAAAATGCCTTTTGTTTGTTTTGAATTTTTTTTTTTTTTTTTTGCAACGGAGTCTTGCTCTGTCACTAGGCTGGATTGCAGTGGCACGATCTTGGCTCACTGCAACCTCCGCCTCCTGGGTTCAAGGGATCCTCCTGCCTCAGCCTCCTGAGTAGCTGGGACTACAGATGCGTGCCACCATGCCCAGCTAATTTTTTGTATTTTTAGTAGAGACGGGTTTTCACCATGTTGGCCAGGATGGTCTCTATCTGTTGACCTCGTGATCTGCCTGCCTCAGCCTCCCACAGTGCTGGGATTACAGGCATGAGCCACCGCACCCGGCCTCCAAAATGCCTTTTAAATAATTTCTGAAGTCTCTGCCTGGCCCATCTCCCTTTCACTGGGTTTGCCCCGACTCCTTCACAGTTGTTGCCTCCAGGAAATCCTCTCCCCAGTCACACGTGCCAATTCCACCCACTTCTCGGTCCTTGAGCAAACGGCTCCTCTACCAGAAAATGCTTATCCTGCCCTCGGTGGCATATGCTATCTCCTGTATCAATTCGCCAAGCATTTTATCAGGAGGCAGCATGTTCTAATGGAGAAGGGATGGGCTTTCAAAGCAGAAAGGCTTGTTCTGAAATCCTGGCTCAATTTACTAGCTGCATGACTAGGGGCAGATTATTTATTCTCTGAATGTTTGATTCCTTATCTATAAAGTGGGATAATAAAATCCACCTCACCGGATTACTGTCATAATTAAATTAAAAGTCCATAAATTATCAAATAGAGTCTTTAGGGCACAGAGGGAGGCTTAACAAATAGAAGATAAGTTTTTCCTTGTTCTTTTCTACCAGTATTTTTCCCATTTTGCTTTCTGGGAGAATCCTGTGTGCCCCCATTTTGTCTCCCTGGCTGGATGACAGGCTCCAGGAAAGCAGGATCTTTGTGGGATTCACTGCTGCAATTGCTCACAGCATCTAGCAAGCTCCCAGACATGGGTGATTCACGCATATTTGATGAATGAATAAAAGAATGATACCATATTCTTGTCAATATGTATCACTGGAACCACTAAGTATGGGAACTGGAAAGGACCTTAGAGAAAAATCACTGACCCAACTTCATTCTATAGATGAGGAGCAACATGACGCTGAGAAGCTAAGCAGCTTGCCCATGGTTAGCACGCCAGTGAGAGCGGCAGACTCAGCTCTGTGTTTCTCCTGCCCTGCCAAGCTGCTTCCCTGATCAGCTGCAGGCAAGTATGTGATGCCAAAAGCATTTCCTAGGAAAGCGGCAACTAAGCGACAACTATGTCACTCGGGGAAACACCCACAAACAATGAATGACACACATGTACTACCTCCAGTGCCGGCATGACGTACTAGATTAAATAGGGGGCGAGAGCTGGCTTTTAATAATCTGCCATCCTTCTAATATTTTTTTAAAAACTATACCCCATCGTATCTTCTTTGGTGAAAATGTCCAGTCAGAAGGCATGGCTGGTGGAGGCAAACGGAGAAGTGAGGCAGCCCCAGCTGCGTGTCTGTCTCCGGCCTGGCTGTTCCCCTCTGTTGTACACGCTTCCTCCCTCAGCCCCATTACAAAGGTCTGCTTTACTCAGTGCCTGAGCTGATGCCTAGCTACTCTCATAATCAGCTAAGCTAATGTGCTCATGGAACTGTTTCCAGGGGATGGGACTGCGTGTTTCTGGGGAAAGCCTTCCTCTTGGGCCTCCTCTGTTGTTGGCTGGTAGGAATTCCAGGCTAGGTCACGGGGCAAATGGAAACACGCAGCAGACGGCAACTCTTTACCCACTGCCCTGTGCTGACAAACTTGCTGCCAGATGAGAAAGGCATAAGGGTGGCTTATTTAATGACAGGATTTAGAATTTTATTTATGTGACAACTAGTACTATATCCTTAGTAGCATACTTAAGGCCGCTGGGCTTGCAGGTTCCTTAAATGAAGGCAGTACGTACCTAATTCTGCCTCTGTGTCCCAGGACTGTCACAATACACTAGGCTGTTGGTTTTGTTTCTGTTGAACCATTGGTAATCTTATTATTATTTTTTTTGTGTGAGAGAGGGTCTCGTTCTGTCGTTCAGGCTGGAGTGCAGTCGTGTGATCTCAGCTCTGCCTCGCCTCCTGGGTTCCAGCAATTCTCCTGCCTCAGCCTCCTGAGTAGCTGGGATTACAGGTGTGCACCAACACGCCTGGCTAATTTTTATATTTTAGGAGAGATGGTGTTTTGCCATGGTGGCCAGGTTGCTGTCAAACTCCTGACCTCAAGTGACCCGCCCACCTCAGCCTCCAAAAGTGCTGGGATTACAAGTGTGAACCACCACACCTGGCGCCCTTGCTAATCTTAAACAAAACTAAGACACCAGGTCATAACACAGCAAGTCTCTTGTGCCTGCCCAGCTGGGCAGAGAGAAGCTGGACATCTGGAAACTAACTTGATGAAGTGCTGCTGTTCGGTGTGACCGGGGGCAACTCACAGAACCTTCCAGAGCCTCAGTTTCCTCTTTTGTGAAAGAGGCAATCACCAGTACCTCCTGACGAGTAAAGCCATGTGAAATACACACGGACACTCTTGGAAAACCTGTGGTTTTCAACAGTGATGCTCAACAAAATCACCTCTGTAAGTCTTCAAAAATACATCCTGATGTGTAGTCAGAACTGGCAACCACTGTTGTACGGTGCTCGACACATAAAGTAATCACTGATATATTGAGGGCTGTTCATGAACACTCAAATGAAATGACCATATATGCTGTGAATACAGACAGATACAATGAAAGACTCTAATAATTTTAAAACAGCAAACAGAGAGCCCGTCCCTTAGAAGTTGAACATCCCAGATAAAAATGCTAAATTGCAGCAATAAACCCTGAAACGCCCTAAACAGGGATATATGGAATGCTCTGATTGTAAATTGCTGGCTCTTCCCTACATCTAGTAAAGAAAATTACCTGCTAAATGTTATCATAAAAGCTACGGAAACATTTTTTTACCTAAGTTATAGAGTCAACCAAGAAAAAAACCCTATAAATTAGATATTCTAAATCTTTAAGCCACTAATTTTAATCAATATCAGTCTGGAGGTTTTAAATGACTTTCTCCTGAAACTCCCCACCCCATCAAGTAATTATCAGAAACATTGATTTCATTCCATATATTCAATCTTACAAGTTCATAAAATATTAGCCTATTAAGTTAACATAAAAATGTAATGCAGTAGAATGAAACAGTAGAAGGAACTCCATATAACACCTGCAAACTGTGTCTATAGGAGTCTGATTTTTAATATTTCACTGACCACCCCTATTCCCCCATCTCCAGCTCCCAAGCCCCAGGGTGGGTGAGAAAGGAGGTTGCAAAGGGCATCACGTGCTGGACAGAGAGTGGCATGCAGTATCTACGATCACACAGGACACAGATGGAAACATCAGAAGACAACCCAACACCTCATACAGATTAAAAAGAAAGGCGGATTCGGCCGGGCGCGGTGGCTCAAGCCTGTAATCCCAGGACTTTGGGAGGCCAAGGTGGGCAGATCATGAGGTCAGGAGATCGAGACCATCCTGACGAACACTGTGAAACCCTGTCTGTACTAAAAACACACAAAAGAATTAGCCGGGCGTGGTGTCACGCGCCTGTAGTCCCAGCTACTCGGGAGGCTGAGGCAGGAGAATGGCGTGAACCCGGGAGGCGGAGCTTGCAGTGAGCCGGGATCGCGCCACTGCACTCCAGCCTGGGCGACAGAGCGAGACTCCGTCTCAAAAAATAAATGAATAAATAAAAATAAAAAAGAAAGGCGGATTCACAAAGGTGCAGTAACTTCACCCAAATTACACAGTGTCAGAGGGGGGCATCAGGGTTCAGGTCTCCTCACCCCAGGCCTGGGACTTTTAATAAACAATGCCGTTCTAACAGGATGGTGGATGGGATGCATAGACGGAGCAAGAGTGACACAGAAGCACTGCTTCTTTTCTGTACAGAATTACTGAGTCCCCTACCCTGCCTACTGTGAGACGGATCTTTTATTATTATTATTTTTTTGAGATAGAGTCTTGCTCTGTTGCCCAGGTTGGAGTGCAGTGGTGTGATCTTGGCTCACTGCAAACTCTGTCTCCCGGGTTCAAGCAATTCTACTGCTTCAGCCTCCTGAGTAGCTGGGATTACAGGCATGCGCCACCGCCTGGATAATTTTTGCATTTTTAGTAGAGACGGGGGTTTCACCATGTTGGCCAGGCTGGTCTTGAACTCCTGGCCTCAAGTGATCTGCCTGCCTTGGCCTCCCATTGTGGTGGGATTACAGGTGTGAGCCTCTGAGCCCGGCTGAGATGGATTACTAATAAATACTACTACAGAAACAGGACAGTTTTCAGAGTCCGTCTTTACTAGGCTACTAGGCAATTCCTCAGCCACTGAGATCATATACACAGAAGGAAATTACTGATGCTGGTACTTTCCATCATTTTTCAGTAACTGGGTTTCACTGGCTGTGGGTGTTGGAAAGGCTGGGTAGTCATGCCAACATTTATATATCTTTTAAGGATGATACGTTGCTGAACCAGGATGTCAGGGAACCAGCCTACCAGAAAACCAGGATTCTCACACTGGTCCTGCCATTATTCTGTTGTAAAGTGTTGGGCCTGTTTTTCTTGGCAGCAAAACGTATGGATAGCCTCTCCCAGCTACTTTGAAGGCTCACATGTTAATGTACGGAGGAGCACTTAGGAAAGTTTAAGGCATTAAGCAAAGCAAAGGAAAAAGCAAAGGTCTCTGGTATGTTACACCTCTCGGAATTGTGTATGTTCCAAAGTATTATACATGTTCCCTGTGAAATACACATTAGTTGTCTCCTATGGCTAAGGACAACAGGCAGAGAGAAACATCTTGAGATATGTTTGGAGGCAGGCTGGACAAACCCAATGTTCTCATTTCACACACAGTTCTCCAGAGGAAACACACAGATTTATAATCTGTTATTCAACAGTCATTTTTTCAATAGGATGGTATCATCTGTCTTCTGGAGTGTTTGCCAAAATAGGAGGCAAAGAGCTAGAATGAATAACCCTTATCAAATCCAGGATGATGAAACGAAGTTAGCTCTGAAGAGGAAGACTGTGTTCCAAAGATACAGCCTAAGCTCAACATGCAAGGCAGCCGTTCATGAAGCTGAGGCTCACAGCCCCTTTTTCTGCAGAGTGGCCAAGAGGCGGCTCCTTCCAGCAAGGCACTGTGCTTCAGGTGGAGAGCCCCTGGGTCCTAGGAGAGGTGCTGGGACCACAGGTGCCTGCTAATGGTCCAGGTCTTTGGAGTGGCTGGGGCAGGAACCCATGGTATGTATGTGTGCAAGAGTGTGCCTGTGCATTTGCTATACTGAACTCATCACAGCATTCCAGAACACAGTGGCAGCCAATCCACTGGTAGCAGAAAGAATAAGGTGGGGGCAGAAGCCAGGATAGAGGGGCAAAGAAATAAAAAGCAAAGCAATGGTGCACGTGTGGAATGGCCGGGGCTGCCCGTGCATCTTGAAGGACTTCGAGTCTGGATGGGTGACCTGCGGAGGCTCCTTGCTGAGCTGCCTCATGCTCTAGATGTCATTAGAATAATGCCCTGTCTCAGATTTGTTTTATGCAACCGAATCCAGATCTCCTATAATCTGTTTTGTGCTAAACCCAGAAACAGAAACAGAAACACCCAGCTCTTCTTCAGGGAGGGGTGGTGACGGGGAAAGATGGATAGGAGAGTACGGGTGAGAATCTGTACTGCAAGGCAATCCTGACTTCCCAGGCGCAGCTCTGCAGCTGCTCATGAACCTGCAAAGCTTTCAAATCACAACAGACATGATGGGAATGTCACAAGATCCCCCCTGAAGCTCTCGCTTTAGCCCAATTCCACCTTTTTAAGAGAAAAATAAACACACACCCCTCTGGCCTTTTGAGTTTTTCCTGGTAAGTAAGAATAAAGCAATGCTAAGCCCACTTTCCAGAATTTCCCCCTTCGAGTCAGATAAACAGCACTGAGCTACAAGGTCAGTGAGTTAGTGAACCTAGCAAAAGAAAGAAGAAAGCATTCTTCTGTTCTCTTACAATCATATGAATATTTGCTCCTTTATAAGAGTTACTAAGCGAAAGCACTCAACGCAAAAAAGTATTTTCCCTAGATCATCAGGAATAACCTAGTGTGGCGAAAGTTACCATTTAATGCCTACATTTTATGACACATAATTTCACTTAAAAACAAACATGTAAATAAATAAGGACTTAGGTATCTGTGACGGACTATGATGCAGTACTCTGATAATTGGTAGGTTATTGCCAGGTTCGGATTGTCGTTTATTTGTGAAGTAAGATCCACAGCAATTATTTCTCATACAATTAGATATTCACAACCAGTGAACATTATGAAATGTTCTTTGCATGAGCCCTGCAAACAGGAAGTACCTAAACAGTATCTAAAACTAAAAAAAAAAAAAAGAAGACTGAAATCTTACATTTTCAACAGTATGCCTTAATGACAGAAGGAATCATGTAGGTTACTTTAAAACAGAAACAACAGAGAATTCCCAGAGGTGGCATTTGGGAGTGAGATTTGATTTTCATTTTACCTGGCTTAATAATGAAAACACGAAAGATGGCTCCCAGTTTCTCCGAGATCAACATATTAGTCCATTTAAAGAAATGCCACAAGAGGCTGTTCCTACTTTTCTTTAGAAGACAGATTTCGTTTGTTCTTGCTTAAAATTGAATATATCTCTCAATTTTAACAGTGCCTGAGCCAGAGTAGGGTAACATGAATTGGATTTTCATCAAGCCTGTAGGCGCAGACTGCAGTGAGAATACCCCAGCCGGCCAGCAGCCGCCTCTGCACTGTCGGCAGGCCCTGCTGCCATCCAGGAGGTCTAATGAAAAGAGGATGCAGGACTTGACAGGGGGGCTGGCCCGAAACGCCAAGGCAACAACAACACAAGCCACACACTCTGTTTGCTATGGGGACAGGATCAGAGAGAAGGAAGAAAAGAACAAAAGAAAAAAAGGAAGAAAAATAGCTCCCACCACCCAAATGTATAATGTATATGTCTGTGCGTGTGTGTACATTTATGCATGCATGTGAATGCATGCATGTATGTTCACAGTATGCATGCATATACACTTATGTGTCTTCATATATGTACATATATCTCTATACCGATATAAGAGTAATTAAGCAGTGTTTCAAAGTATTTCAAGAAGCATAAACAAACAGGAACAGAAAAACCTTGGGCAAGTATTCTTGGCAATAAAAATTTACACTGAATGCACTGTCACAAACCACGATTAATGATAACATTCTTTTCCAAAGCCCTTGCCACACACAGAGTGAGATAAATTGGCTATGGCAGGTTTATTTCTCTGGTCTGCAGGTTTATTTCTCTGGTCTCCACGTTTTTTTTTTTTTTTTTTTTAAAGACAGGGTCTTGCTTTGTCACACAGGCTGGAGTGCAGTGGTGCAATAATAGCTTTCTGCAGCCTCAAACTCTTGGGCTTAAGCGATTCTCCCACTTCAGCCTCCCAAGTAGCTGGGACTACAGGCATGCACCACCATGCCCGACTAATGTTTTACTTTTTTGTAGAGGGTCCCACTATGTTGCCCAGGCTGGTCTCAAACTCCTGGCCTCAAGCAATCCTTCCACCTTGGCCTCCCAAAGTGTTGGGATTAGAGGTGTGAGCCACCATGCCTGGTCAAGTCTGCAGGTCTTGAGGTCATGTCTGTCAAGCAGAAATCTAGAGTGGCAGCCATTGCCTTTGCCAGGCTGGAAGAGGGTCAAATCTGGAAGAAACAAAGATTTCCAGGGGCAACATGCCTAGCAGTTTGAGAGGGAGTATTTTAAAGGTTCATAATTGGACTGAAATGTGGGTGAGAAGGCAACCTTGGCCTCCTCATCATGCAGGCAGGTTCTGAAGGTGGACCTCGGCTGGGCCACATGGGGGAGGTGGGATCATGGAAATTCTAATGCCACTGTATGCTAAAGCCATGGATTTCGGGGAAAGGCATGACCAGATCTGTGTCTGGGAGAAAGCTGGGCTGGAGGGGGCCAGACTGACAGCAGCGATCGTACTCTTCCAAAGGAACTGTATACTAGGCAGGTAGGATGGTCCCCATGGGGTCCTGGCAGGGGGGTGGGCCCCAGACACGTATGTGGGTGTCATCCCCACTCAGGAGAAGATGAAGATGAGTAGAGGACAGGGCCAGATTATGCAATGCTGGGACAAAGGGACAAGCCTAGAAGGGGCTATGGAGGGGACTGAGTCATAGTGAGAGGGAAGCCAGGAGAGAGGGGTGTTTCAAAAACCAGTGCAGCAGGATTTTCCAGAGAAACTGGTCAATGCATTATCAGAAGCTGAGAGTGATCATGCAGAAGAAGGGATGGAAAGGACTTATTTTAATTTATTCATTGTATTTACAACAAAGAGGCCACTGGTGACCCTGCTGAGAGTAGCTTTTGAACAAAAGTATTTTTAGTGGTCCTTTACCGCCTACATGGCTACTATCCAAGCCCATCTCAACCTCTCTCCAGAGAAAACCTGTCCTCTAGCCTCCCACTGGGCGAGCACACCTTAGGTCTTGGGTCTTTCAATCTTGACATTCTGTTCAAGACCTTTCCTTACAATTCATACCTATCTTTTACAATCTACCTCGAATCACATTCTGGGAAGTTTTATGGGACTTCCTCAGTTCACAGTTCTTGATACTTCCTTTAACCTCAAAAAGCATATGAACATTGACTTTGGCTTCTATCAAACACAGCTCTGCCCTCTTGACACATGTGCACTGGCTTGGAATCTGCTTTATTTTCTCACATCCTCATCTTCCCTTGTCTATGCCTTTCTCATTTGAAGCCATCACTTTTTCCTGGGATGTTTTTCTTCCATTTTAGTTTTTTGCTTCCTGAAATCCCTTCTCTTTTTAAAACTTCAGCTTACGGCTGATCTTCTCAATGCAGAAGCAGTTCGAGGACCACCCATCCGGAAGTGAGGTCTTACTTCTCTGGATTCCATTAGCTTGGTGACTGCTATTTGTGTAACTCATAACAGTAAATGGCCCTTTTCTTCAGCTGTGTCTATTTGTGTGTGTACCATTCCCTTCTTCCCAGTGGATGCTAAGCTCCTGGAGTAGTAGCAAACTGGTAGAATTTCAGAGTTTGGTAAACCTGGGTTCAACTCCCTTGGATTGGTTACTAGCCTCTCGGACCCTCCACATGCTCAGCTGAGAAGTGGAGAGCAGAAGGCTGATGCATCATGCATCAGGCATGGGTCTCAACCCAAGAGATATGGTTTGGCTGTTTCCCCACCCAAATCTCATCTTGAATTCCCACGTGTGGTGGGAGGGACCTGGTGGGAGGTAATTGAATCATGGGGGCGGGTCTTTTCCGTGCTGTTCTTGTGGTAGTGACTAAGTCTCACAAAATCTGATATTTTTATAATATCAGATTTAAAGGATATTAAAGGACTGAGCACCACCAAGGCTGTTTTTTAAAGGAGTTCCCCTGCACATGCTCTCTTGCCTGCTGCCATGTGAGATGTGCCTTTGTTCCCTCCTTTGCCTTCTGCCATGATTATGAGACCCCCCCCCCAGCAATGTGGAACTGTGAGTGCATTAAACCTCTTTTTCTTAGAAGTTACTCAGTCTTGGGCATGTCTTTATTATGAAAATGAACTAATACACCAGGTAGGGTGGAAAGGCACCTGCTCAGTGCACGGTTCTGCAGGCCTTCACTGACCACGAGATGCTCTCCTTCCCTATGCCTCTAAGTCAACTGGCCATTTATAGACATGGAAAAGCTCCAAATATGTGATGGGGAGCAAACGATTTAGACCAGAAAAATGGCATTCCATTTTCTGTACCCTATGTTAATAATATAGAAAGTCAGTCACAGTCTAACTGCTCTGGACTTCAGCTTTCCTTTTCCCACTAGACAAATTAAGAATATGGTCTTGTTCCAAACTATGGAAAATGCTGAGACCCTACATTGATAATACTACTACATATGTGGAATATCTAAAACTAGAAGAAGAAATTGCTAAGTTACAGAATTATGAAAATATTCCACCTTATATTAATGATATATAAATTTAGATTTTTAAAATTAAATAACAATATTCTGAACTAGTGAATGAAAAACTATGTTAAGAATTAGAACCAGGTTGGAGGTTGTAGATGAAAATTTTATTTACTGTTTGCTCTTTGGCTGGCAGAAAAGATAGGTAAAGAAACAGAAAAATATAAGAAATGCAAAAACCTATTAGCTAAATGATAAATTAGTAGGATCTATCTTTAAAAGTTTTTCTATTGCATTGTCTTCAAATTGTTCTATATAACCTGTTTTCTTGAACATATGACAACCTTAAATAGTTTATTAGATGAGTACAGCCTTACTGGTTAGCATTTGGAATAACTTATGAAATCAAAGCAGTATAGTACAAAATATTAAAATATACCTATTATTTTTTTGTTACTGAAGAGGAGAGTAAGATTTTAACTGCTGAAGAAAGCAGTTGCAAAGGGCTGTATGAAATATGTAAATATCTCAGAGATGTATTTTCATGACAGTATATCTGTATTCACAATAGCATTTAAGAAATAAAAATTAAAACAGCTCCTACCACTACATTTCTCATTGGAGGAGGCTGTTGGAGCCCTGTGCTTTCACAGTATTGACATACTTGCGTTACGCTCATGAACTCCTGATCAGTGTAGTAGGGCTGAGGAGAAGGAAAGACGAAGGGACACATGAACGATCTAGGCCTTTCTTGTTTGCAAGAGCTCTCTCTGCTGAGATAACACTGGGTGCCCATTATCTTCAGCGAGGTTCTCAAGGGGTGATTAGGAAGGGAGGGAAGTCTATCTCTTTAGGAAATCTGTGAGCATCTTCATGAAAAGACACTCTTACCACTTTCTGTTACTCATTCCCAGGATTTACAACAACCCCCAGAAAAAAAGTGTAAAAAGAACTCCTCCCCAACCCAGCCACAACACAAGTCATGTAGCCTAACAGGGTTGCTCAGGAGGGTGAGCATGGCATTTCAGCTTTAACTATGAGAGGACTGAGCACCACCAAGGCTGTCAACCCTGCCTGCACTGCAGAATCACCTGGCTACACTCTTGGCCTCAGGCACTGCTAGTTTCTAAAGCTCGCTAGATGATTTCAATCAGTATGTATCAGAGCAGAATGTTTTAACTTGGTCTTTGTGTCAATTTTACACCCATTTCATTTACCTTATTTTTAAAAATCCCACTAAGTCTCCAGGCAGAGCACACAAGAGGCCTCCTTACTTCATCATTGCTCCTCATATGTCCCTTCAGTGTTTCCCGAAGGATGACACTACTGACCCTCGACAGTGAGCCTGATGTGGCCCTGGGTCAGGGATGTGATGTCTACAGCTCAGAGATGGAGCGACAGAGAGCGAGCGAGAGAGAGAGAGAGAGAGAGAGAAAGAGAAAGACAGGAGGCAGGTGGCAGGGGAGATCTGTTTGCTCACATTTCATGGTAATGGAAAAACTTTTTCCAAAGGGTTATAAGTATCTGTGAAGCCATCTGGTGTTTCCTGCTGTTGCATCCTTTAGATTCTGTATGTTTATATGTCTATGGCACCAAAACATCATGAGCCTAAACAGTAATATTTAAAGGATGTTGTACTTTAATGCAATCATACACAATGCCAATGCTTTATAAACATACTCTTTAAGAACGTCATTAGTATAGAGTATTTGAATAGTTGAATTACATACATATTCTCTCATTAGACGAAAGGGAAACTGATAACAATAAAAGATGGAATCCTTGTATGTTAATTGGCTATCTGGATATGGCCTTTTGTAAAGTGAACATTCAAGTCTTTACCTATTTTTAAAAGTTGGTTTTCAGCCTTAAAAAAATCGATTTGTAGGATTCTTTATATATTGTGGATATAAATTTTTCATATGTTTTCTTCCTTTTCATTCTACTTTTTCATTCTCTCAATAATAGTTACTCTGATACCATAATTTTAATATGGTCCAATGTATTAATTTTTTCCTTTTATGGTTCACTCTTTTGTGTCCTGTTTAAGAAGTCTTTGCCTGCTCCAAGTTTACAAAGGTGTTTTTTGTTTCCTCCAACACTTCATTGTTTCACCATTCCCATTTAAATCTACAATCCATTTCATGTATGGTATGAGGAAGGGGTCAAGACATCTTTCCCTTCAAATAGCAATCCCATTGGCTAAATCCATTTATTGACAAGGCCGTGCCATGCCCACTGCACTGCACGCCACCTTTGACATAATCAGGTGACTGTATAAAAGTGGGTTTCTTTCTGCAGGCTGTTCTGTTTCACCGATCAGTTTGCCTAGCCTCGCACCAACGCCACACTCCCTTCATTACCAGAGCTTTAGAACAGGCTTGGCATCTGGTGGCAGAAGCATTCCAACTTTTTTTTTTTTTTTTTAAGAATTCCTTGGCTGTTCTTGGCCATTTGCATTTTCATGTGAATTTTTGAATGAGCGTCTCAGTTTCTGCAAAAGAAAATTTGCTAGTCCCAGGACTGCATTAATTTTTTTTTTTTTTTTTTGAGATAGAGTCTCACTATCACCCAGGCTAGAGTGGCACGATCTTGGCTCACTGCAACTTCTGCCTCCTGGGTTCAAGCTATTCTCCTGCCTCAGCCTCCCGAGTAGCTGAGGTTACAGGCATGCACCACCATGCCTGGCTAATTTTTGTATTTTTAGTAGAGACTGGGTTTCACCATGTTGGCTAGGCTGGTCTCAAACTCCTGATCTCTGGTGATCCTCGGCCTCCCAAAGTGCCGGGATTACAGCATGAGCCACTGTGCCCAGCCTAGGACTGCATTAAATTTATATATTTGGGGAACATTAACAACTTTATAACATTGAGTATTCTAATCTATAAACATGGAATATGCTGTCATCTATAAATACATGAAAAGGCAATCATCTCGTTAGAGAAATTCAAATTAAAACCACCATATCCACTAGAATTGTTAAAAATAATACAGGAAATACCAAGTATTAGAAAGGATGTAGAAAAGCTAGAATACATGTTGCTGATGGGAATGCATTTTGGCATAACCACTTTGGACAACTGCTTGGTAGTATTTTCTACAGCTGGACACATATGCAAAATCTATGATCTAGCAATTCCATTCCTAGAATGACAGCTCACTAAAGATAAGTATCTGAAAGTTCACATTGGCACTATTCACACTAGCCCAAAACTGGAAACCCCCCAAATGCCCAGCAATAGTAAAAAGAATGAATACATTGTGCTTTATTCAAACCATGAAAAAACATACAGCTCTGAGGATGAACTGTCCACATCTACATGCAGCAATATGGATGAATCTCACAAATAATAATGAGCAAGACTGATCAGATTCCATCTAGATAATATATAAAGACAGCACCACTGTATGAGATTCCTTTTATAGAAGGGAAAAAACAGAAAAACCAACCTATTTCAGAAGTCAGGATAGTGCTGATTGGTGGTGGAGTATAGTGACTGCAAAAAAATTCTAGGTGTTTCTGGAGTGTCAGTAATGTTCCCTTTGTTTATGTGTATTCTGGGTAGATGATATCTTCAGTATATAAAAATCCATATTGGCCGGGTGTGGCGGCTCATACCTGTAATCCCAGCACTTTGGGAGGCCCAGGCAGGCTGATCACTTGAGGTCAGGAGTTTGAGACCAGCCTGGCCAATACGGTGAAACCCAGTCTCTACTAAAAATTTAAAAATTAGCTGGGTGTGGTGGTACACACCTGTGATCCCAGCTACTCAGGAGGCTGAGGCAGGAGAATCGCTTGAACCTGGGAGGCGGAGGTTGCAGTGAGCCGAGATTGTGCCACCACACTCTAGCCTGGGCGACAGAGTGAGACTGTGTCTCAAAAAAAAAAAAAAAAAAAATTTACTAGTGCCAAGAGAAAAAAAAAAGTTATTATGTTCTACAGAAGCTTTCAAAATTGTAAATTAAACATTTTAATGCAGTACTTTTGAATATTATATCTTTCCTCCTATCATGCTGAATTCTTTGTAAGCATACAATTAGAAACATTTTCTTTGTTACTAGTTGAGAAAATGGAGAAATAAAAGTTACACCATATTCCCAGTTTCAATCAGTTTGCCTTAATTTCCCATTCAAATGATCACTTATTGTTCCTACCTGTTATAGCAATTTGTCAATTGCTCTAGCGTGGACACAAGTGTATATCTGTGTTTATTTTTCAAAGAACTGTAATGCAATATCATAAAAAAGGCACAGCAGCTTTAAGTGTTCCTTCAGTTTTTGCAGATTAGTTACACAACTGTCCTTGTTCTAATTTGTTTTTCTCTAGTTTTGTGTCAATGCTAAACTAATCAGTAGATGCAATTACTGAATTCCAGGAGATTCATTTTTAGATATGACATAACCCAATTTCCCAAGAAACTTGTAACAAATGCAAGTTTATTTTTTTTTCCTATTTTTAATTTTTTTTTTTTGAGACAGAATCTCACTCTGTTGCCCAGGCTGGAGTGCAGTGGCGCGATCTCGGCTCACTGCAGCCTCCACCTCCCAGGTTCAAATGATTCTCCTGCCTCAGCCTCCCGAGTAGCTGGGACTAGAGGTGCATACCACCACACCCAGCAGATTTTTGTAATTATACTAGAGACGGGGTTTCACCGTGGTGGCTAGAGTGGTCTCGAATTCCTGACCTCAGGTGATCTACCTGCCTCGGCCTCCCAAAGTGCTGGAATTACAGGCGTGAGCCACCGCGCCCGGCCACAAATGCAAGTTTATATCCTTTTAGTTTCTTTTTTAGAAAATATGGTACTGTGATTGAGCTTCACATATAATTCACTAAAAAATTCTCAAATGAAACTACGAATTATGGAAGAAATTTAGATTATTTAAGCAAACGAGTATACTGAATGGCTAGATGGATAATTTTAGTGTTTTTTTTAAAATTATAAACTTATATAAAACTGTAATTATAACACATATTTCAATAAAAATAAATTCGGACACATGAGAATAGCAAGTGCCGTGAAGAGCTAACCTGAAGAATATGCTGTTCTGTGTTTGTATTTACCTCAGCTTTGGTAATGCATTAAAAACTTAAAATTTTTTAAGAAACACATTACAGTAACTATCACTACAAATAGACTGTGGTAGTTTTGAAAGCCGTTCATAGAAAAACTTTTAAAAACCACATCAAGTATTTAAAGGTTTCATTTAAGAAAGCACAGAAGTTACCTGACATGGCCATATCATGACATAAACAGCGGAGAGCTGAGTGTTTGACAATCATTTTAGAAAGCCCTGTCACGTGATACTCCAGCCCACTGTTTAAGCTGAATAGATCATGCAGTTATTCTTCATTTGTTTTCAAGGTATTCTACTGACTGTTGATTTTGGGGGCAGGGTAGAAAGAGAGCAGACAACATTATTGTATTGAAGCCTTTTCCTACTTGTCCTATTTGTTCTAGGATATCGGTCCAAGAGTAGAAGAGAGAAAAAACCGAGTCATTTTATCCCCAAAATAACCCACGTTGGGATGTATATTATCATCACCACATCAGGTGAGACTTAAGCACAGATGAAACAAATTATTGGTCTGGGTTTCACATGGTTACTTTTGGAGACAGGAGGAAAGTGATAAGTTGCTTAAAATCAAGGAGGAATGAAATATTCTTTTTCAAAAGCTCGCTTGGATGAACTGGGACCATTTGTATGTGAATGAATGAAAGTTGAATTATTCAGAGTGTTTGATTCTTTTCCTTCGATATAAGTTGTTATATTCAAGGGAGAGAAACAAACAACACGTATATACACCTGAAACTTGTCAAAACCAAAAAGCCATTCAAACCAAATCAGTCTTGAACTCCTGAGTTCAAACCATCCTCCTGCCTCAGCCTCCCAAGATGCTGGTTTTATAGGTGAGAGCTGCCGGCCCAGCCCAATGCCTGCTTTGATCACTGGCTTCCAGAAGTTCCTGTTGCCTGAATGATCAGCTGTACTCTCATCACCTGACCCAACCCATCATGAGGCTTGAGGCATTTTGTTCAGTTGGTGTAGATACCTTTTTCCCGTAAGTTCAAATACTTTAATTAAAACAAAAACCTTACATTAGTCTTTTTGTTGTCAGAGTAATATACGCAAGGGATAAAATTTTTAAAAGCACAGAAGGGCATAAAGTTAAAAGCTTAATTTTCCTTCTCTCTTATCCCTCTGGTCACCCTCCCCAAAGATAATCACCATTAATAGTCTTATACCAGAAAATGTCTTGTTCTATGCCTACACAAATACACAGAAACAGACTAATTCCTCCACACTCTTCACTGCCTTCCCTCTTCGCCTATTAATTCCTGTAACACTAATAAGTACACCATAATGTATTTACTTTTCATAAAAGCCTCTATTTTTCAATTCGTTTCATCTTATTTTGCCTTTTTAACAGCAACTCCTTTTATATCCATAATAGCACTTCATGTGGTGCTGGGCACGCAACATAAACGATAAAACCCCTGTCCGATGAATGTTCTTACATTCTGAATCACAAGTAGAATTCACCTTCCTTCTTCTCCTGTCAAGAAGGAGGCATTTCACACACAAACAATGCTGAGCTCGATGTTTCTTAATGGTGTACTCTTCATGGACAGGAAGTCCCTGTTTATTTGGGTTATTAGTAGCTGGGCTCTGATCCAGAGATCCATTTCTAGAGAAATACATTGCATTTTTTTTTAAGCTATGAATGGGGTATACACCTTTTTTTGTTTGCTAATTTGAAATACTCAGCTTCTGATATAACTATGGATAGAAAATAACTATTGCATCTTATACTACCGGGAAAAGACAAAGGAAAAAAAAACTGTTATAAAGCAAGGATGTGTTCAGAGACTAATGGGGCCATGTCAGAGGGACACAGGAACGGGGTTGCAAGGGCTCCCACTGGCGGATGTGGGACAATGTGAACATCAAAAAGAATAAGGATGGTCATGGATTGTAATGTGCTGAATAAGAGAGAATCCATGAATCTATCATGATACTTAAAAAAAAAAAACAAAAAACAGTGGGAGAAGAGAGAGGAAGGAGGAAAGAAGAAGCTCTTCTTTATAAAATAAGGCCAGCTACGTACAAAATCATCTTCTGCAACCACTCATGTAATAAGTAAATCAGGCAAGGGTGATCATCAATGGATGCAAAACGTGGGCAAAACTGCTGCAGAACAGGGTATCAACTAGGTTTCAAATATTACTTGTTAATGACAAGGAGAAAGAGAGATCTCAAGCAAATGCTGAAAGTTGGCATCGCCAATAATGGAACTCACAATACGTGCCTGCAGATGTGACAGAATGGGAAGCACACATCATGCATGCAGTATTCTTGCCAGAAATGTTTAACCTGAACCCAAGCATGACGACAATGAGACACGTCCAGACTGCAGGACACCTGGCTTGGGTTCTCCAAAACCAAAACATCACGAAAGACAAAAACAGGAGAAAGTGGGGGTGTCCAGATTACAGGAGATAAAACAAACATGATAGTCAAGGAGAGCCAATGGACTGACCCTTTACTGATCCTGGATGGGGCAGGGGCAGGGGCAGGGAAGGGCTTGGTGGGGAGTTTGGAGAAATTTGTATTGGATTGTATTTTCCGGCAATGGATAGTATTACTGCATCATTGATAAATGTCTTGGGTGTGACATAGGTACTGTGGTTATGTACGAGAACACGCTTCTTCTTAGGAGACGTATGTTGAAGAATTTAGGGGTGAAGTCTCATTACATGTGCGATTTACTTTCAAATGGCTCAGGCAAGAATATACTGCAAGAGTGACGGTGATAAAGGAGAGGGAGGAGGGCCAGGGCGTGTGTGAATGAGCAAGACCTGGCAAATGTGGCAAACAGTAACAGCTGGTGAACTGGGGAAGGTATATGGGTTTTCATTATATTATTATTTTTATTCTTGAAAATTTGCAATGTAAAAAATTAGGGGGAAAAAAGACAAATGTGCATTTGGCTTGTTCTTTTCTTCATTTTTAACTTTTTTTTTGAGACAAGTTCTCACTATGCTACCCAGGTTAGCCAGAAACTCCTGGGCTCAAGCGACTCTCCTGCCTCAGCCTCTAGAGTAGCGGTGATTACAGGTGTGTGCCACCGTGCCTGGCACTGACTTGCTCTTGCCTGAACACCAAACCTTATCACTTATCTGACAGCAGTCAGATCTGATCATTTTGGAATTCAATGGTGGAGATAAAACTGGCCAGAATAAGAACAAAAGGAAGGAACTGGCACAAACAAAATGCGTGGACAAAAGGCACCTGGGCACACAGGAGTATTTTCAAGCAGGAATCCCTTTTAAGATGAGGAATTACAACGGGACTTTAAATGACGGCCAAGAGTATAGTCAAATAAGTGGAACTGAGCAGATAACTATACAAGGCAAAAATGCAGTGAGCATGGGTTCTAAGGTTACAAATAAATTCAGTGAGTAGGCGAATTTATAAATATGAATAATGAGAATGAGAGTAGACAGTATGTGAAATACACACCTATTTTCATACATATACACCATACACATTTCCCCCTTTATTTAAAACTTCTTTTTCAACTTTGAAAGTGATTCTTGTCTTGGGATACAATTCACAATTTACAATTACACGCTGACTTATTCGCTTGCCTATTTACCGATGATTTTTCTCACTATTTTGTAAGATCCACAGATCACCTTGCATTCTGTGTCTGCTGTGAGCCTTCTATTGGGATTGGAGGGAGGGACCCATGACCAGTGTAGGAGGGAATGCTCCAACGGTAGGATAACTTGAGAAAGCTTTCAGAGAGACAAGCGTTTAAAAAGAAATGGCCAGCAAAGGTGCCGTGGAGGGGTATTACGGACAAGGTACAAACACGGCTATAGCCCAGGGTCACGCAGACAACAACTGGGCAGGCTGACAGAGCTGAAGTGTCAGGGATTTGGTAATGGTTGTGAAAGCAGAATTTTAGGAGAAAAGCCTAGCTTGGCTACAGTGTACAGTGTTGGTTGAAGGCTGAAGAGGTTATGGGATTCCCACCTGGCATCTTTGGATGCCAAAGGGTTTTGGATCTGAGAAAGGGGGCAAGGTAAATGTCAACATCAAATGTTTGTTTGAAAGCAAGCATTTTCATTTTATTTTCCCAGAAAACCTACTGGAATTAGCATACTGACCTATATACGAAAACCAATCATTAGGAAATAGCTAGAAATCAAAGACTTAACTGAAATCCATGGATTAGGTCCATGCCTTAGTGGAATTGTGTGTGTATGTGCACATATATATATATATGCATTTTTCAAGGGGAGTATCCAAAGCTTAGTCAGATTCACAAAGGGCCTGTGACCCAAAATATTCTTGGGTATCAAAAGAGCTTTCTCACTTTATTTCTTTTATTTATTTATTTATTTATTTATTTAATATTTTTGAGACGGAGTCTCGCTCTGTTGCCCAGACTGGAGTGCAGTGGCGCGATCTCGGCTCACTGTAACCTCTGCCTCCCGTGTTCAAGCGATTCTTGTGCCTCAGCCTCGCGACTTTCTTTCTTTTAAATAGGGCTACACGAGTAACAGGGTTTCATCCAGTCTTATACCACAAGAGTAACACAGCAGTAGAATGTTAAAAACAAACACACACCCTTTTCTCCCCAATTGGGGATGTATAAAATCCCTTTATACTGGGTATACATTTTGACCTATCAATTCTACTTCTAATAATCTATCCTAGTGAACAAAGATATAGGATTCACAAAGGTGTTCATCATAGCACCACTTAAAGAAGCAAAAGCTGAAGTGACCTAACGGTCCACCATTAGGGGTTGGCTCAACATATGATGGTTACTGCGTTGAGTGTACCCTATGTGTCCATTTTAAACTGATGATGCAGGCATATTTTTTACTGATGAAAGATGTTAATTTGAAATTAGGAAATAATAAAAGTAAGTTATAAATGATTAGTAGGATTCCATTTAAGGAAAACTATGCATTCATATTTATCTATCTGTGGAATAACATTTTGAAAGGATATACATGAAAATAATATTTCATGATAAAAAGATTATGAATATTCTTTCTACCCTCAAATATTATTACAATAACCACAGATTATCTGTGTAATAAAAAAGCAATACTTCCCTTAAGCCACCCCTCCTAATGCCAACCAAACCCCTAGTCATCCATCTACGTTACATCCCTCTCCAGCTCCTACCCTAACTCTCCTTTCCTGTCAGGCACAACACTAAAACACTGTTTCGGGAGAGTCCTCCATCCCTCCAGCTCCTATGTTTACAACTGTGAATCACTAAAGCCATTCAGCATCTAACATTTGGAAGACCTATTCTGGCCTCCAGTTTATACCTCTTGCCTGAGAAAGACACACCAACATCAAACAAAAATAAATGATTCCTGGTGTGTGTGTTAGGGGAAGTGGTGGGGGGAGAAACAGTGAAGGCTAAAAGAAAGCCAGGAAATATTTTTATAAGCAGAAATAAATCAGGGAGTTTAAATTTTTCCCGTACTCGATATAAGAATCGATAAGCAGTTGTTACCATTTTGCTGGTGCTTGTTAACCAACCGTATAAACATTTTAAGAGTCTAACGTGCTGACAAAGCACCTCTTTCTGTGGCGAAAACCCTCATGAAGCAAAAGTATACAAAATGCAGGGCTTTTACACCACTGTCATTGTAGGTGATGAGATTTCCCCTGTTTTATCAAACATGGCAGATTTATACAGCATCTTTAAATTGTTTTTTATCATGATTTTTAGGTTGAAGGGATACGGGAAGAATTATGAATGGGGGAAAACCTACTCAGAGTTCATCAATTTCTAGGACAGAACACTGTAAATCACCACTCCATTGGAAGAGAGTCCATAAACATAACAGTGACACCCACATGGCAATAGAGGGTCATGGACAGGACTGCAGTCTTTATGTGGAGCTCTGGGTCGTGTCCTTTAGGGAAAGCTCTCCTGGCTACAGAATGCAAAGAGTCAACACCCACAAGCCTCACAGGCTGCATTCAGGAACCCTTCACCATCCCTGAAAGGTGCTCTGGAGACATACTAACCACCTGACGACAGGCCTACCCGGAAACCCTAGGGTGGCAGCTGATCTAAAAGGAGGCAAGTGAGGATTTGCTGCACACCGTGTGTTCCAACATGCTGGGAAAGCACGCTGTAACACGAGCTGCACAGCACGGAAGAGCATCACCTGAGCGGCAACAATTCTCAGAAGGCCCAAAAAAAGGAGCTGAGGAGGGAGGATTTGTCGGTGCATTTCCAAATACTTTCGAGGGAGAGGAAGCTCTGGACTGTCCAGGAACGATGACCACAGTTTCACGAGCACCTCCCTTCCTTTTGCTTTGATGCTAGCGTCACTAAGCTGCCCCGACCCTACCCTGCTTTGAAATGTGAGATGCCCTAAGGAAAGCTCTCCTCCCAGGGACTGAGCATCTCGTGTTCTCACATCCTGGACCTGTGGGGCTGAAAGTTCCTCTCTGCAAAGGGAGGACCACACAAATGACTGCACCTGGTCCAAAGGGCTCCCCAGCATCTCACAGACACTGTTTTGTTTATCACACAGACAGAAACACGCACCAAAAATCATTCTCATGCTCACAAAGTCAAAACCCTGATGTTTGCATTAATTCTAAAGAGACACGTTAAGGCACTTGAGAGACTAAAATTATTCCTTGATGATTTTCAGAAATACTAATTTTATTCCTTCCTTTCTCCCCCAAAATACTAATAAAGCAATATGGCATTATTTCAGTGACCTATAGGGCTAGCAGCCAGTTACATTCTACTCTTTCACATTAGATGATAAAAACAACCTCCCCAAATGATCTGGAGTCAAGCTGAAGAGCAGCTTCTTCACTGCCAATAAATCCATTTTCTAATTATTCAGAAAGACAGGTTTGTCTTTGGCCCTGACTGCATTAAAAATACCGGAAGTATCATTGCTTTAATGTGCATTATAGAAACATGACTCCCCAAGTGAATCTGATCCATTAATAACATCTCTTTAACTGCTAATGACTTCTGCAGACATGTAATAGAATATTTTATGGCTGTTTTCAACCATCTGTCCTTCTTTCTTTCAATATGAATTTGCCAGAGATGTAATGAAATTTCCTGTCCTCTGTGCCATTACATGTTTGTTAATACCAACACACCAATCAGACACATCAACGCTGTTATGCTCACTATACATGGAGCTATGCTCTGAGCACTGCTCAAGGAATGAGAACCTTCTGTCTCCAATATTCTCTTAGGCTACCCTTGAGCTAGCCCAAGTTTCTAACCTCTGTATGAGCACATTCATGTATGTTCTCGAGATTTGTAGGGCTAATGAATCACGAAGTCTGAATCAGTCATACAATAAGAGTTCTAAGAACAAATACCTGCATTAAAGATGCCACACTTTAAAAAGTTAAACATGATGTGTAAAATTACAATCCTTTTCTTTTCTATGAATGATATCCTACATTAACACATTTGAAATTCAACTAAATTATGCTTTTGAACAGTTAATGAGTACCCCAGTGATCAATATTTCATATTTTCAACTTTTTTCATTTACAAATTCTTTGATTGAGTACTATATGCTAATCACCTTTCATAAAACAGTCCATTGCTCTGAGTGTACGGCTCATGTTTAAATATGTATGCAGAAGAGAAATCCATTTGATAAAAAGATATGTCCTGAATTAATGCGGTGGGTTTTAAAATATAGCCGTAACCTGCTTTAAGGCAGGTTAGACATAGAGTTGCTTTCAATAGGAAGCTGTGCTGGAGACAACAGGCAGATTCCTGGCAGTATGGGTTGCTGTGGTATGAAAAGATCTGTGAAGTGACACTGGAAACTATAGACTGGGGGGCTTTGTTTCGAGGCCTGGGGTAAATGCAGGTCCAAGGAGGAAGCTTCCATTTTGTCCTGAGCCCCAGGATTCTGTGAGAACTGCAACCCAGTGTGCAAAGTGCAGAAAGCTGCCTCCTCTTCGCTCTCTCAGTTCTCTTTTGTTGTCAGACCTGATGTTTTCCTTAGTAGATTCTCTGGAAACATTCTCTGTTTTTTTTTAAGTTAGGGCAAAGAAAAAATAAAGAGTCTTTCACAATCAGCTGTTGGTGTTTAGAGCTTACAACGCATTTTGCAGTGAATGCTCTACAGAGTATCAAAAAATTCATTAAAATTTCACCTGCACAGAGAAAACACAACTAATTTTACCCCTACAGGGCATCAGCTGTGTTACTAAGGACAGTGTCACCTTTAAAGTCAATTCCTGTGGTTGAAATGAGGACTATATGCATCTGTCCTGCTTCCGGCTCCAACCAGAAGTGGTAATGAGGAGAGACAGACGGATGCACAATGATAGTCTTCACAAAAGCTCGAGTTTCAAAATGAAAGGGGAGAGTACTCAGCGCGTCGCATCCTGTTTGGTGTCACTAGGACCTTTCTTCTCAGAGGAAGGAGGCTATTTATAAACTTAATGGTTACTTCAAGGAGGGCAGGCAGAAAAATAAATCTTTAGCTTCAGATTTCTTAAATCTTCTCTTGGTCACTGTTTATTTTGTCTAATTTTCTATAACTTTTATTTAGTCTTTACACTTATAATTGGTAACTGGAAGGTCCCCAATACTAAATTAAGGTGTGTATATATAAACATATATTATCCCCCCTCTCTTTTGAACAGATGTTGTCATGCTTAGGACAAGTTTAAATTCTAACAAACGTCGAGAAAGGCTGAGAATATAAAAGATAAGCAAGGCTTAACGTCAAAATTGAAGCTCTCTTTCAGTTTTATACAGCTAATCATTAAAGTTCTGCTCCTCAGCCAATTCAGCTTAGACACATCACACACGTAATTAATGCACAAAATGCTGCCATTCATGTGCAGATGAAGGAAGGATGCGGTCTATTTATTGAGCGCCTAGATTCTCAGTTACAAGAATTCTTTGCAAATATGATTTAAAGTAAGTAGTATTTAAAGAAGCAATGGCATTCCAGACCCCAATGTGGAAATTTCTGGGGATAAACATAAATGTGCAATCTTAAATAATGCCTTGTTTTATGAGTTCTGGGTCTTTCAAAGAGGGGCTCAGAGCCAGTGCATAGACAAGAGCATAAACCCAGATCTCATGGTATGCTTTTAAAACATTATGAAGCAATATTTCAATATCTAATTTCACATTAAAATGGGAAATCTGGAAACACAAGGACTTCATTCCCACCTCCGTTTGGAACAGCTGTCCTTTAAAACGTAGAGGCCTTCTAGTCAGCCACAGCGCCCTCCACTGGCACTTCTACACATGCCAGCCTCATCCTTCACTTTCCTGCTCGACCTGTGGATTCAAGAGGGAATAGGACACAGGTGGAGTTCTAGGCCCTTATCCTTGAACTGGATTGAGGAAGGGATGGGAGAGGAGAATTAAAGAAGAAAATCAGGAAAAACCATTTCCTGAGGTTTCCAGGATAAAGGGCCAGTGGAATACTAAGGAGAGGGGGCCTGTGGTGGTTTTAAAACAGGGTCACACATTTTGTGACACCCCTGCCATTGAGAATCGGGGGTCTATGTTCCCACACTTTGAATCTGAGCCTGTGACTCCTTTGACCAAAAAAATATGGCAGAAATGAAACTACATATTTCCAAGGCTGTTTCACAAAAGGCCACACAGCTCTGCTCTGTCCTCCAGAACACTCTCCTCTGCAGTTCTGCCCACCAAGTAGGAAGTCGCACTGCTCTGAGGCTACCACGATGTGAGGAAGCCCCGGCCACACAGACATTCTGCTCTACAGCTGCTGCTGATCCTGGCCTAGGCACCAGACCTGTCTCCGGGTGATTCCAAACCCCAGCCATTTGAGTACACCCAGTGTTACAGTCTTCCCAGCTATGGCTGATAGCATGTGCACTATCAGCATTCCCGGCCCAGATAATCTGTGAGTTATAACAAAAATGGTGGTTGTATTACGCTATTAATTTTTTTTTTTTTTTGAGACAGAGTCTCGCTCTATTGCCCAGGCTGGAGTGCAGTGGCGTGATCTCAGCTCACTGTAACCTCTGCCTCCCGGGTTCAAACTATACTTCTGCCTCAGCCTCCCAAGTGGCTGGGACTACAAGCATGTGCCACCATGCCTGGCTAATTTTTGTATTTTTAGTAGAGATGGGGTTTCACCATATTAGCCAGGCTGGTCTTGAACTCCTGACCTCATGATCCACCCGCCTCAGCCTCCCAAAGTGCTGGGATTACAGGCATGAGCCACCGTGCCTGGCCTACGCTATTAAATTTTAAGGTGGTAGAAACAGATTGTTGGTATACTAAGGCCTACGGAATACTAAGAAATTATCTGAAATGGCTTCTTTGGTGCTACCAGTGATACTGTCTGTTAGCCTTTGCTGGGTTCTAAGCTTTACCTGAGATAATCAAATTGAGTACTCACCTGTCTGCTGTCCGTTCCTCCCCTCCTCAGGAACCAATGGGAAGGAGGTTTCCTGGGCAGTTTTCATAGACTGCACCCTGATGAGCAGTGTGGTTTAGAAATAAGTCTTGGCTGTTACTGAGGCCTGAAGCACTGAAGGAAGTGTGCTTATGTTATGATCTGACAGAGTTACCTTTGAAAATGAAGTTTCGGTCTTCATCTTGAACACAAGGATAATGACAGCTGATTATCTGTTTCTTTCACAGTGGTTAAAAGTTTTGGTGAATGTGTATCTCAGATTTCTAAAAGTGTGAGTATATAATTTCATCTACAATGGCATGAGGCAGAAGTATAAGTTCTGAAAGCTCCTGTACATTTCCCCAAGCTTCCCATCACATAATTACAAATGAGTAGTGTTGTCCACAGGAAGATACTTGTTTTAATACTCCAAATAACTTATTTCAGTAGCACACATTTTGATTAGGATTGTTGACTGTTTGAAAATATCTCAATAGATCCCCTACTGTGTAAATGTCATACATGTGCACAAAACTTGAGAATGCCAATAGGAAGGGAAAATATGGAAAAGTGCGAATACAGTTGCACCATCGACAGCTGCCAGAGGACTCTCAAGGCCTCCTGTGTCTTCCCCGTGTGTTTAAAAGAACTCTGCTCTTAACAGGTGTGACCACTGCTGAAATCACAGGTGAGCGTAGAAGATTCTCTGCTACTTAATATCTTCTTAAGGCTGTCCTCAAATGCCACAGTCCTCTTACAGACTGAACAAAGAAGTTTTCCTAGTAATGCAGTAACAGTTAGGGATAAGCATGTCCTTGGAGGAGTACTGCACCCAAACATTTTAATCGCTTGGAACTCAGTCATCTGACTGGAAAGCCTACCCAGCTCTCCGGGATGACCCCTTCCTAGGCACTGCCTGCCTCTCTAGGGGGCACCATTCAGTGAGACACAAGCTCTTGGTGTCAACACAATGATCATTCAGGTGACCATTGTTGAATTGACCTCTAGACCCAGTCTCCCACGTTGCCTTGTTAGGACATGCTGTTTCTGTCCTGCCGCTCTGGCTTGAGGAATCTTTCATTTATGTATTTTCTTTAATCCTTTTAGCTACAGCTGTCAAATGTATCCTTACGGCACCAGGTTATTTCCGTGACTAATAAAAAAATCCAACTAGAGTCACAAGATGCTGTGACTTGTTATCTTCTCTGAAGAGTTTGAGGGGCTCGAGGACAAGTTATCACACATAGCAGTGTCTGTTTCATACTCTTACAAACAGGTCAGATGCATTTATACAGGGATGAGAAGTGATTCTCAGGAAATAAAGATTTCTTTCCAAGAACATACTAGGCCTCACGCGCTCCTCAACACTGCCAACTTGGGGGATAATGCATTCTGGGGATGACGTCTTTGTTTAAAACATTTCTGAAAGCCACTGCTCACCCTGGGCTCTCACTATACCCACATATGCCACTATTTTTTTTTTAACTAAGTATTTAATTACTTGTGAGAATGTCTGTCTTCCCCTAAGAGTGTCACCAGCTTAAGAGCAGTGACTAAAATTGTCTTTTCATCTTATATCCCTGGTGTCTAGCAGAACACCTGGCAACATAGTAGGCACTCAATATTTATTGAATCACACATACTTTGTTTTGTATATTGTCTGTGTTGGCAGTTGCATCCTTTGAGGGTAGATTTTTTTGGTAACAGTCAAAAGTCATTCAGAGTCAAGTATGAAGAAAGAGGCCACTATACTACTCAATTTTCTTATGTGTATCATAAACTAAAACTGAAGGCCATTCTGAAAAGGAAGTTTATTGGAATAAACAGACAGACCCTCTAAGGCAAATAATTTGAAAGCTAACACCTGGATGTAGGAATTCTCACATGGTTCTTAAAAAAATTGTTTAGGGATTCATAACTCTTTTTTTTTTTTTTTAATTAAGCTTCTAAAAGTAAACTACTTTCTGCAGTAGTGGGTGGAGCGGGGAATGAAAAATACAGAAATAGGCCAGGTGCAGTGGCTCACACCTGTAATCCCAGCATTTTGGGAGGCCGAGGCAGGTGGATTAGCTGAGGTCAGGAGTTTGAGACCAGCCTGACCAACATGGTGAAACCCTGTCTCTATAAAAACACAAAAATTAGCCGGGCCTGCACCTGTAATCCCAGCTACTCCAGAGGCTGAGGCAGAAGAATCGCTTGAACCCGGGAGGCGGAGGTGGCAGTGAGCTGAGATCACGCCATTGCACTCCAGCCTGGGCGACAGAGTGAGACTCTGTCTCAAAAAAAAAAAAAAAAAAAAAAAAAAAAAGAGTTTCCTCTGATTGTACCTCACTGCTACAAAGCGTTGAAATACAGTGAGTTCCTTTTAAGGAAAGAAGTTTACTGGCAGTTTGAATCCACCGTTTCAAAAGCTGAATAAAGCATATATTTTTACATGCCTTTGTCAGATTAGAAAATGATCTATAGGCCATGCACTTGCTGCTTTTCTTCTCACTGAGAAGTAAATGTAAAATTGCCAAAAACAAACAAACCAAAAAAACAAAAAAAAAAAAAAAAAAAAAAAAGAAAGAAAAGAGGAAACACCCCTCAATAACTCAAAGTCAGGGCTAAGTTTTTATTTTTATTTTTTTCTTATTGTGGTAAAATATATATAACACAAAATTTAGCATGTAAAGCCCTTTTCCAGAAGGACCTATTCATGTATTTTTTAAAAAGTGTTTAATTATTCGTAGCAAAATTTACCATTTAAACTGCAATTATGTGTAATTTCAGTGGCATGAAGTACATTTACATTGTTTTTCTACTATCACCCCCATCCAGCTCCAAAGTTTTTTTATCTTCCAAAACTGAAACACAGTACCCATCAAACACCAACTCTCCATTCTCATCCCTCAGTCTCCCCCAACCCCTCATCACCCAGCCCCTGGCAATCACCATTCTACTTTCTATCTCTATGAATTTGACTTTAGTAGCTCATATAATTGGAATAGCACAGTATTTGTTCTTTTGTGCCTGGCTTATTTCACCTAGCATAATGTCCTCCAGATTCATCCATGTTATAGCATGTATCAGAATTTCCTTCCTTTTTAAGGCTGCATAATATTCTATTGTACGTATAGACCACATTTGTTTACCCATTCATCCATCCATGGACACTTGGGTTACACCTGTTTGCTACTGTGAAAATGCAGCTACCCACATAGGTGTACAGAGACCTAATCAAGACCCTGCTTTCATTTCCTTTGAGTATATAGCCAGAAGTGTAATTGTTGCATCCTATGGTAATGCTGTGTTTCATTTTTGGAGAAACAGCATTACTAAGTTGGGTTTTATAACATTTTGCCCCATCATGCTTACAACACACTTTAGACTATGGCTCTGCTTATCAATAATTTCTTACTGTGCCTAATCATAGGAGATGTAAGTATGGCAGATAGAATCTTACTGTGCCAGTCACTCAGAATAATCAATTTCCTTTACTTCTGGTCACATACCAGTTTCTTAGGCAGAAACAAGGCTAAAGCTAAACACAGAACCACAAATAATGACTCAGCTAAATAAGCAGATTTGTTTATGGGGCTAATCTGACAATGCCAGCATGTCACAGGAGCTGGTTACTAATGAAATCTGAAGGGCTGGTAATCCTAGAGGTCTCTACAGAACCTGTGGATTCTTCCGCAGTTTACACCTCCTGCTGCTCCACAGACAGCAGCCGTTCCCCGGGGCTACCATGTATGGTGGCACAGGTGTACACCGTGGCAGGATTGAACATCTTCCTAAGCGTGTGACTGTTATCTCGTGATTTCCTTACTGTGACAATGTCAATACCGAGCTCAGTTTTCCTGTCAATATTCAGTCTGCATTTTTAGGCTCAGCATCTATGCTAAAGATCTTCCAAACAGCCTGGCTCTACACAGGCCCTAGCATCCTCAAATGTAGATCCTCATTGCCTCCCTAATGTTACCTAACCTTAGGTAGGTTGCAGCTTGGATCTCACCACCATTTAGAACATATTTGAGCCCTAGACTTTGACTCAGTTTCCTGTCTTCCCACTTTTCTCAATCTGTCACCCCTGAGCTTGCTCTTCCTCAACATGATCTCTGGTTCGTTGGTTCCTCCTATTTTCCTGGCCCAGAGTTGCCTCCAGCCTCTCAGCTGCTCTGCCAGCGTGGACCTGGTGACCAATCACTGCAGCGATGCTCTCGTGGATACCCTTGCTTCACCTAACTTCTATTGCTGCATTCTCCTTGCCAATCCTAGCCTGGGGAAGATGGCACCAATCTCTCTCTCCCATGTGCGCCAGAACACTGTAAAACAGGACTGACTGGTCTTGCTAGTGAAGTATGTCACTCACCTTTGTTATCACTGCTGTACAGCTATCCTTGAACCCATTGTTAATGGAGTGCCTCTCACCCTCCCTACATCCACTACATTATTATTGAACCCTTTTCACTTTTCTCAAGCAATACATCTTAATCCTACAATGCAGACTTTATGCACAGAGTTTTGCTTTCTTCATTTAATTTTTTGAAAGGATCACGCCCATTTAAGATGAATTTTCACGCCAAATAAACAAAACCATGAAAGAAATAATTGAAATATTTGATTACACAATTACAAGGTTTTCGTTTGTTTGTTTTTAAAAAAACAAAACCACAAACCTGGTTGAAAGAGGAATGACAAGGTGGGAAAAGAAAATGTGAGCTTCTCCAACTTCTTTGCCTTAGAATTGTCCTGCATAGCTCTCATTTGTCCTCTCCCTCTTTTCTTCCACGATGTATCGAGGACTCACGTAGGAAACCCTACTTTCCCCTCATTGCCCTGGGACCAGGCTCCATGAATGGTTTTCTACCCTGTATTGTGTCGTCAATGATTTCTTTTGCATTGGCTTTTTCCTCCCCGTCAACACACACAATACAATCTTTACATCCTTATAAAAACCACAACCTAAAATCCAAAGAAAACAAAACAAGACCCCACGCGGGCCCATCTGCCCATTCCCTAGATTTTCAAATGGTCCCTGTGTCCTCTCCTCCTCTTCACCACCACACTGCTCCTCTAGGTCTGGTGCCCCTGCCTCCTGACCACGCCCTGGCTCCAGGTCCCCTGTGAGCAGATTCCATTCTTTCCCACGGGCCATGCTCAACTGGCCTCCCTGCCGAGCTCTCTCTAAGAGATGTTGCCAAACATCCCATTTCACAACTCTCTTCTTCCTACTGCTCTTCTCAGCCTCTTCTCTTTCTAGTCACTCCCTCTAGGTAATATAGTCCAGCTTCACCTCTTACCAGATGACTTCCAAACTCAGGCCTCCTGCCCAGATGGCCTCTGAGCTCTAGGTCTGCATTTTCACCTGCCTGCTCAATGTACCTAGAAGACACAATGCTAGCATCTTAGACTCAGTCTGTCTCTAAGAGAACTCTCCTTCCTTCACATGGATCCCCTTTGTTCCTTATTGCTGTTAAGAGCATTCCTGTTGAACCAAGCAAAAAAATACCTCCCCCCCAATCCCCAGACATACTTTGTAATAAGTAAACTTTATAACAAATGAACTTCGCCCATAATGAGGCAGTCCAGACTGGTGACCAGTGCCCTGTCCAGGAATCAGGTGATATCTCCTCCAGGTCCTGTAACTGCAGCTATTTTTTTTCTTTTGTTTTTAACTGAGACAGGTATTAATTAATGTGACATTTCTGAACCCCTATGATGTTATGCAGAAAGAATGAGATTTGAATTAAACCAATGATGTCAATATTTTGAAATAGGTGGAATTGTAAATGTAGTAACTGGTTTTGTAATGACTATTTTTGTGTTGTTTTAGTTACCCTTCAAGGTGTTTGAAGACTTTAAAAGAAACAGCCATATTAGATTAGCAACTGCTTTTTAAATTGGTTATAGAAATATAATTTAGCTTTTAATCAATGCTTAAATGTTTAACAAAAATTCATTTTAAAGTTTCATTTATTAGATGTGTAAAATTAATAAATTGATCATTCAACTGAGAATAAACTTATACATGGTCATAAGCCCTCTAGATATTGAAAACCCATCAATACTTTAGTTGTATATCATACACATCTCTCTCTTCATCCTAAGAGTGGTTTAGAACAATGACTTTAGGAGAGCCCAGGGGCTCAGAACTACGAGCCTGAATATGTGTATTTTAAAAAGGTAACCCTGTTTGAGAACCACTGTTTAGACACATCCTTTAATCAGCCATGAGAGAGGACAGTAATCAGTGTGGCCTGTATAACACCTGAATTACTAGTTAAATCTAATTTTGCTTGACATTCATGGACCTTCTATATTTTTTTAGCTGAAATGCATCAGTTTTGAAGGAGGCCATTGCCTGAGAGTGGAGAATATTTTATGTTATAGAGAATTTTTTATTGTAAAAGATTTAATCTGCATGCATGATTTTTATAATCTAGCATTTGCCACATACAGTTGTAGAGACTATAATGAAAGCATAAATCTTAGATTTTAAGTGAAAGTACCTGGCACATTTATATTATTTCATTACTAAAGCTTTTTCTTCCCTTCACCCCACTTTCCTCTCTCCAGGGTTTAGGCTCCATGTGCTACCAAAACTAACCTACAGCCAACGTGTATTTATTTAGAAAGACATTCAGAGATGAGGCCTCTAGCTGGCTAATCTAGAGCTTATGGGGACATGGTTGGAGGAAGAAAGAGAAAATAAAAGTACTGTGTTCTAATTCCACCTTTCCTATGATGCACAAATGAAAGGTTCCCTGTGCTCTATCCCTGCACAACATCCTTCATCTGCTGTGGGAGAAATCATCTTAAATACTTAAATGTAGAATTCTGCAGCTTTCAGTGGCATGCATTTTTTTTTATCCTTAGTCAGTGAAAACAGGTTATAGCATGTAGCATATAAGCAATGCATTAAATGGTAACTGCTATTATTATTATAGCCATAATCATATACAGTATAGCAAAGGTTTCCTATTCAAAAGGAATGAACTTGCACCAATGCAATAAAGTTGGTAAAAAAATTTCTGGAGAATAAGCTTACTACTGAGTAATTCTGCTATGCCTCTACAATCTCCAATTTTGAATTTCACATCAAACCTCAGTTCTCTCTCTATTCCCACACCCCTCTTCTCCCCCTTTAGACCGACAAAATCAAGTGTATGGCACAGAAGTGGTAATTTCTCATCTTTCGGCTGTGCAATTATGTGACTAGAAATAAACAAAATTGGAGAAAAACAGTCTGACAACTAAATAAGAAGGCAAGCCTGAATCTTATTTAATGCTCCACTTGAGCTGTTAAGAATAGTAAGAACCACTGCAGATCTATTGTATAACATGGAGGCTATTAATAATAATGTATTGCATACTTGAAAACTGCTAAGAAAGTGGACCTCGAATGTTCTCACCATAAACAAATGGTAAGTATGTGAAGTAATGGATGTGGTAACTGGATTAAATCATTTCACAATGTACACATCTAACAAAACATCATGTTGCACACCATAAATACATACAATTTTTACTTGTCCATTTTTTTAAAGAGTAAGAACCAAAAGTCATACTTTTTTTTTCTTGTGTATCAAAGCTTTTATACAAGAAACTAAGTGGTAATCTAGTCCATTTTCTTATCTTCAGACTTGCCTGCATTGAAGACAAATTTTTTTCATACATATTCTTAACGATAATGATCCCGAGATGTCCACTTTGTAGGTATTCAAATAAATAAACCCCAACAATCTAAAGCAGGATATAAATGGCGAGTGGCATGGAGTTTCACAAGAAAGGGGTTCAAAATTATAACTGGATAACCTCTCTTCCTTCTTCAAAAGAGCTGTCCCTTTAAGAGAAAAGAAGTTGAAATTTTCTTTTTCCCCATTAGAAGGCAGTAGGTATTAAACATCCTGGTGTCCAAAAGGGACCTATATTAATAAGCACATAGCCATAAGGATTGATTTTGCTTTGTGGAGATGCCGTTAAAACCACAGGAAAACAAAAAGTCTTGCTTATATTTTAAAAAGGGCAATCTTATTAACATTTTAATAAATTAATTTAAGTCATCTGGTACTTAGAAAATGGATCTTGTTCTTCAAAGAAAATAAATGAACAGGATGTAAGCAGCTCATGAGTTCATGCTTTTGTTTTAAGAACAAGTAGACCCTTTTGCTCATATGCCCTGCACTGTAACATCCACTCATTCACCCAGCAAACTCTTGCTGAGCATCTACTGTGGATCAGGTACTGTTCTAGGTTCTGTGCTAAAAAAGACAGTCCCTGATCTCCAGGCACTCTGAGAGGGTGGTAAATGAGCAGACGGTCCTTGCAGATATCAGCAGAGAAAAGAGGGAGCAGTGGAAGAACATATCCTCATCACACCTCTGATTACACTTGGAAGGGCCCCTTCCCCTGCGCAAGCCCAAGCACAGGGTCAGGGTCGCACGAGGTTGCTACCTCTTGCTTTCTCTGCTTCTAGTCACTTATGCACTGAAGTCCCTTCCTTATGCCCTGCTTGTCATTGACGCACTGAAGTCCCTTCCTCCTTGCCCTTTGTCTTCCCCAGCCCCTGTACTTACTTGCTGCATCACAATACGCTCCTACCTAGCTCCTCGAGGGTCGAGTCGCCCCTTGTTACCATGAATCCCAATACCTGGGTGAAAGTCTGGCACAAAGACAAGGATAAATATGTGTCCAATGAATGAATGGGTGAACGAATGAATGAAGATACTTGTCCTTCATTGACTAAACAATGACCAAGCATCTGCCCTGTGCTCATGCTAAGGAAAGACAGAAAGCTGGCTAAGCCAGTGGAAAGAGCACAGGCAGTTAAGACGGCTGGAAAGGACATCTTCCCAGGAGGACATGGCTTGTCTTCTGCTAGAGCATAAGCTTCTGTAGACATACCAACAAATCTTGGGAAGAAATGGGTTTTGGATTCAAATAGCTCTGAGTTGAGATATAAAGGGAATACAAACACACACCTACTTCATCCGAGATGGGCTGCATCAAGTGCACAGTGTAACACCTGACACCAAGTGGGCATTCAATATGGTAAAATCTAATCTAATATCTAGTCTCTGCCTGAGCAACCCCACAGTCCAGGAGGAGAGACAAGCCCATAAGGAGGCTGAGGAATACTAAGTGGCTTGCTCAGGGTCAGCTGGTTAGTGGCAGAGATCTGAACCCAGGCTTGTCCGGTTTCAACACCTGTGCTCTGAACCACCACACTTAAGTGAGATGTCAGGACAGGAGACAGACTTCAGAGTCATCCTTGCAGGAGACAGGTGTGTCATGGCGGTGGATGTGATCACAGGGAAAGAGAGGGACCAATAATGAAAGCTTGGGCAGTGCCTGAGTTTTAGAGGGACAGAGTGGGAGGGCCAGCAGACGAGACTGGGCCAGGGCCAGCAGAAGGGGAGGCAGGAGTGAGGAGGGCTGGGAGAGCCTCCTGGAGTGGCCAGCCAGAATGGTCAGACGCTTTGGACAGGTCAAACTGGACAAAGGCACGCACATGTTTTTGGCATGCCTGGAACCCTGGGTATCTGTGCAGGAGCTGGTTCAGCGCAGCATGGGGGGTTACTGCTTGGATGCCAGGGGGTTGAGGTGTTAAGGGGAGGCAGTGAAGCTTATGAGTGCAAATGACCCTGCAGATAGAGGAGAAGGGGAAAGAGCTGGGCAGAAGCATGACTTGAAAGCCCGGAAGCCAAAGGCTTCTTTCTGGACTGGGGAGATGCTATGTGGAGAGGAAGAAGGGGAGGTTTAGGAGAGCAGACAGCTGAAGGAGCAGGCTTACTAGCATCACAGAGGAAAACGTGGTAACTCGGAGCAAAGCAGACCAGTCACTTCAGCAAAAGGATGGATGTTTCCTTTGGAAGCAAAATGCAGGGAATTGAGGGTGTTCTGGCCTTGCGTTCTGGTGTGTTGGACTAAGACAAAAATGTCTCCTTATTCCATAAATGATACTAGGACAGGAGAAAGTTATCATTTTGGAGAAGGTTAAACTGAACTCCCATCTCCTTTCTTATACCAAAATAAATTCAAATTACTTCAAAAACTAAACATTTAAAAAATCTACAAAAGCACCAGAAGGAAATGCAAGAGAATTTTTATTGTCTTGGAGTGGGAATTCAGCATGACACAAAATTCAAAGACAATGAAGTGAAATGTAACTACATAAAAATTATAATTGTCTGCCGGGCACAGTGGTTCACACCTGTAATCCCAGCACTTTGGGAGGCTGAGGCAGGTGGATCACTTGAGGTCAGGACTTCGAGACCAGCCTGACTAATACAGTGAAATCACATCTCTACTAAGAATACAAAAATTAGCCAGGCGTGGTGGCGTGCGCCTATAATCCCAGCTACTCGGGAGGCTGAGGCAGGAGAATTGCTTGAACCAGGGAGGCAGAGGTTGTAGTGAGCTGAGATCGTTCCAATGCACTCCAGCCTGGGCGACAGAGTGAGAGTCCATCTTAAAAAAAAAAAAAAATTGTCTATAAAAGAATAGTAAATGGGGCCCCAAAATAAATGACAAACGAGGAACTGTATTTGTAACAAATCTAAGAAACAATAGAATGGTGAATGAATAATATAGAAAAGAAATGCACATGCTAATAGCACAAAATATTCTTAACATGACCCCTAACAGAGGCGATACTACCTTTCATGTTCTGTGTTGATAAAGGTGAAAATATGTGATCTTCTCAGGGCTGAAGAATCAGGGTGAAGACAGGGTGGCTGGGACAGTAAGTCGTTCAGTCCACATTTTAAATGTTCATACCCAGTGACTCAGCCCTCCTACCTCAAGGCCTTGTCCTTCACAAAGACACACATATCAGCTTGTTCACTACAGCACTGCTCATAATGGCAAAAAGCTGAAATCAATGTAAACGTCCATCATTAAGTGGCTAATTAGATAGATTACAGCATGTCCACACTGTGGAGTATTTGACCATTAAAAATAAAAGACAGTTCTCAGCAAACTATCACAATGACAGAAAACCAAACACCGCATGTTCTTACTCACAGGTGGGAACTGAACAATGAGAACACCTGGACACAGGGCAGGGGAACATCACACCCCGGGGCCTGTCGGGGGGTTGGGGGCTGGGGGAGGGATAGCATTAGGAGAAATACCCAATGTAAATGATGAGTTGATGGGTGCAGCAAACCAACACAGCACATGTATACCTATGTATCAAACCTGCACGTTGTGCACATGTACCCTAGAACTTAAAGTACAATAAAAATAAATAAATAAAAATAAAAGACAGGTTTTTATGTTCCAATATGGAATTATGTACAATATATATTGTGTTAGTGGAAAAAAAAAGAAGCTGTAAGGGAGTATTTATGGTATAATCTCATTTGTGTTAAACCAACAAAAAAGGGTACACACTCACACAATCTCTCTAAATGCACGGGAAATTTCTGGAAGGCTACATAAGAATCTTTATGTGGGAAGTGAGATTTTGCAGTCAGAAGAAAGGGAGAGGAGAAAAACTTTCCTGTTGCCTTTGAAGTTTTTTGTCTAAATTTCTAATCTTTAGAATGCATTGGCCACGCATGGTGGCTCACACCTGTAATCCCAACACTTTGGGAGGCTGAGGTGGGAGGACTACTTGAGGCCCAGGAGTTTGAGACCAGCCTGCGAAACATGATGAAACCCCATGTCTACCAAAAACAAACAAATGAACAAAGAAACAAACAAAAATTAGCTGGGAGTGGTGGCATGTGCCTATGGCATGAGGTGCCAGCTACTTAGGAGGCTGAGGTGGGAGGATCGCTTGAGCACCAGAAGTGCCATGAGATCACACCACTGCACTCCAGCCTAGGTGACAGAGCAAGACTCACTCTCAAAAGAAAAAAAAAAGAGAGAGAATGCATTATTTTGATTAAAAAATGGTAAGTAAACACAAATTTCAGAAAGATTAAGTTACCTAAGTTGTAAATCAAGGGAGGATAAAAGAAGGGGATTATTGGTTGTGTTTTTGTTCCTCTTATTTTTAACAAATACTAACAGTGATCATAATAATCATATCAAGTACTGATTAAGAGCTTCGGATCTTAGTCTGAGTGATCTGGGTGTGAAACTTGGCTCCTTTACTTACTAGTGAGTGACAATGGGTAAGTTAACCTCTCTAAACTTGTTTCCTCATCTTATAGTACTATTGGAGGATTAAATGAGACAGTGCATTAAACATTTTGTGTAGAGCTTGGTACACAGTAAGAACTTAATAAACATGACCTACTATTATGATGATATATTTTCTGAGACAGTGTCTTGTCCTGTCACCCAGGCTGGAGTGCAGTGGCGCAATCATGGCTCACTGCAGCCTTGACCTTTGGGGCTCAAGGAATCCTCTCACCTCAGCCTCGCAAGTAGCTGGGACTACATGTGCATGTCACCATGCTAATTTTTATATTTTTTTGTAGAGACAGGGGTTTCACCATGTTGCCCAGGCTGGTCTCAAACTCCTGGGCTCAAGCGATCTGCTTGTCTCAGCCTCCCAAAGTGCTGTGATTACAGCTGTGAGCCACTGCATGTGGCTCCCACGGTGCCTGACCCAACTATCAATATTAATAGGACCCCTTGTCTTGCTGTTTTCCCGTACTGTATTACATACAATTGTTATTAATATTTGCCTCTTGCTAACATCTTGTTTTTAGATTATAAAACACTATTATCGTATCTCAATTTCACAACAGCCCCAGTTTTATTTGTTTTGGAGAAATTAAGTGCTTAGCCTAAGGTTAGTGGTTAGCCTAAGGTTAGTGCTTAGCCTAAGGTTAGTGGTGAGCCTAAGGTTAGTGCTTAGCCTAAGGTTAGTGGTTAGCCTAAGGTTAGTGCTTAGCCTAAGGTTAGTGGTGAGCCTAAGGTTAGTGCTTAGCCTAAGGTTAGTGGTGAGCCTAAGGTTAGTGGTGAGCCTAAGGTTAGTGCTTAGCCTAGGATTTGAAAGCAGATCTGTGACTTCAAGAGTTTACGCTGCTCTAGCACCGCTGTCTGAAGGCCAGTAAGCCACTAGTCCTGGTGCTCTGACATGCATTTCGGGTGACTGAAATTCCAGCCGCAAGGCACCATGAAGCTCTACATTATTCCACATGGTGCCTAAGACAGGAAAATTAAGAGCTACTAATAACTCCATTTTGTCGATGAGCATGACTTTAAGAGCTTTTAAATTTGTCTACGATGCTAGCCATGAGAGTGAGAAGAGTTCAAAAAGCAAAAAAGTAAAACACACAAAGGTGGCTAAATCACCTGTCTAAAAAAATCAGTACATGCTTCACCTAATCTATGAATCGAATCACTGTTCTCCCCAATCCAGGGTTTTCCCTGTAGTACTACTGTGTTCAAGAAATCTTTATATAACAGAGGTTGATCTGACACAAAGAATTGTTTTCCTGGTCTAGAAAAGTAGGCTGATACTGTTGTCTCCATTTAATAGATAGAACAAAAAGAATTTATCTAATTTTCCCAAGTCCTTTAGTGATTTAATGACAGAACCAGATTTGAGTTCAGAGACTCCTGCTTTCTAATTTGCCTCAAACACCGCACAAAGGGATTATTTCCTCCTCACTTTAATTTTTTCCTAGGATTTTCTTGGAATCAGTTCTGAGTTGATTTTGGAATAATAAAGTATTATGCTAAGTACACAGAGTAGATACTACTGGAGTCTCAGTAAATTCCTTAATAGACTCAAAGCATTTGATTTCCTTGAGGCTTTTTTTTTTAATTTAAAAACCAATTTGGCTCAAACTGAGAATGCTCAACATTTTTAAGTAGCAGTGACTTCTAAATGCTCTCCTGATATATAGATAGATGGATGGATGTATTTTAGCACAATGTAACTCTGCTTAGGAAAAAGCCCATTTAGAAAAAAATTCACTTGGTATTCTGTAGTAACACCGTATCTGTTCTAATAGGCTCTGGCATTAAATATTCAATTAAATGATATTTATTTAATTAAAATCATTTCCCCGTAATATACACAGGAGGGACACACACATGCAGGCATGCAGAGCGTGATAACTTGACTATCTCTCATGTGACTGAAAACACTGAATTCCAAAAACCAGTCATGTGCCACAAAATAACAGATCCCATATATGACAGCAGTCCCATGAAATTACAATGGAGCTGAAAAATTCCTATCATCTAGTAACTCTGCCGTTGTTAACACCATTGTGCAATGCATTACTCATGTGTTGTCATAAGGCTGATGTTAAATCTAGTGTCTGCAACTGTGGAATGCTGGGGTCAGAGAAAGCCTGAGAGAATTTCTTAGATAATACAATCTTGGGAATTTTCAGATTTCAGTTTTACAAACTAAAGTTTCTGAACCTGAGCCCGTGGCTTCAGGAACTTCCAGATATGTTATGCAAAACTTTGTCTCTGTGTTTATACATACCTATTTCTGGGGAAAGGGTGAAAAGTTTTTATCAGCTAAAGGCATTGTATTAAAAACTTGCCTCATGTGCCTTAAGAGCATAAGAGCATATACATTATTTGATCTAGTTATTTTAATAAGAATTTTTCCTAAGAGAAAATCACGGATGTACATGAAGATATTTATGGCAACACTGTAATAGAAAAAAAAATTAGGGACCAAGTAAATATTCAACATTTGGGGGAAACAATAAACAAATGATAAGCTATACAATGAAATACTGGAAGCTATTAAAACAACATGAGTCAAGAGAGAATGGGGTCACATGAGAAAAGTTCACGATGCATTTGGTAAAAAGAGGTTACGATCCCCAAAAGACTAGAAACAGAACATAGGTCTCCATTTTTGTCCATGTCAGCGGTCCAGGCAGGGTGGATGATTGTCACAGGCAGCTCAGGGAAGCAATCTGAAGTCCTTTTGATGCCAGACTGACCCCATGTCTCTGAGTGGAAATAAGAGCTACGCGCCATTCTGAGAAGTATATGACTCAAAGATAAGGCCTGAAAATGTGTTGTGAGAGAGTATTTTCACTGTCTTGAGCTAAGGTCATGAGTTTGTGAAACTAGGAATGAGAACTGAGATAGATTAGTGACAAATTTACCTGTCTGTAATTTAGGACTTACTCTCATTAAAACGGGCCCTAGTGTGTTATTAAGAAGACAACTTGGTGATCAGAGAATTAGAAAAATCACCATATTGCAACCACTAATGTAACAACTGATTCAGGCAAGGCACATTAATGGGTCTGAAAACCACTGAGTGAAAGGTTGTTGGGGAACAGATTTATTAATTACAAAGAAAAACAGTATGTTTACAGTGTAAACATCTGGTCAATTCTACTCTAACAAATGATCAAACTCAGCATGAACCAATAATTGTACAATTGACATTATGGGCCTCCTGATGTGGTGCACTGAGAAGAATGCCATATTACTTACGTAGTTTTCCTGCCAAAAGTGCTTATTATGAATGTAACCTTAGAGAAACAATCCGACAGATTAAGACTGGAGAACATTCTGGACTCAATACATCAATGTCATAAAAGTTAAAAAAAATGCAGGAGAGCTAATGCATGCAATGCTTGATGCTTGCATGGATTCTGGATTAAAAAAGTTATAAAAGATATTATAGGACAATGGAGGAAATCTGAAAACGAAGAGTACATCAGAAAAGGCAGTGGGCTTATAATCCACCTTTTCAGCAATATAAAGTTTGTGTTTCCTCTGCTGAGCATCCTGGGGCTGTTCCCCACAGGACTTTGTGAATGACATTTAAAGTGCTGCTACTTCTGACTGAAGATGGCCTGGGGTAGGGTGGTGGAGGGACCCTGTGTGGGTAGAGAACGGCTGGGGGCAAGGCAGGAGGCCAGTACATAATGTCCTCGCCTGGAGAGCAGGAAGAGGACAGCACACACTGCAGGAGCTGTGTTAATACGCTTCCTGAATGTGCTCTGAGGAAGCACCCCTCCCCTTACTCAGTCCCCCCAAAGAGACATGTAGTAAGGCTCTGTCAGGAAAAATTGACTTTTTTTAATTTAACGAAAACTGTTCTGAGGTCCTAATCACTACCATAGCATTGGGACAGTTAGGCCTTTGAGTCCCCCACTGTGCTCATTAGCACAGGACAGAATGCCTGTGAGGGGCACCATCCACAGGGGACTGCACCTCTATGGGGCTGTTGCTGCTGTCCTCTTCCATGATGAGATCTAACTTCTGAATCTGCGCATGGTTAAAAGGCACCAAATCCACAACAGGCTGTGTATTCCGTTGTATCCAAAGCACATTTAGGGCCTGGCGCGGTGGCCCGCGCCTGTAATCCCAGGACTTTGGGAGGCCGAGGCGGGCGGATCACCTGAAGTCAGGAGTTTGAGACCAGCTGGGCCAACATGGCAAAACCCCATCTCTACTAAAAATACAAAAATTAGCCAGGCTTGGTGGTGCATGCCTGTAATCCCAGCTACTCGGGAGGCTGAGGCAGGAGAATGGCTTGAACCCAGGAGGCAGATTGTAGTGAGCCAAGATCACGCCACTGTACTCCAGCCTGGGTGACAGTGTGAGGCTCTGTCTCAAAAACAAAAAACAAAGTGCATTTGGGCCTAAGAGCTTACTCTTGGATTTCAGTTCAGTAGGCAGAGGTAATAGGCACACAGCCCTACAGGACAAGGCCTCAAAATGCAAGATTCCTTAAACAAGAAGAGAGGGCTGACATGACAAACAACAAAAGTAACAACAAGGAAACAACCCTTGGGGTTACAGGGCTTTCTTCTCCTATGAGTGAAGAAATAGAAGTAACTGTAAGCTCTATTTTTAGCACCTCTATGTACTATATGTGATTTAAAAAAAAACCAGAAAACAAAAAAAAAACGCCTTAGCTTTGTTAAGAGCAGTATTTCTGAAGACCATTTCAAATTGTAGCTTGCTAGTCATCCAGTTGAAGAAACATGTAATAGAAGGCAGGGTTCTTTCTGACTCTTCCCAAAGCATCTAATAATCCTCAGATAGAGCAGTGAAGGATGGCCAGAAATTTCATACTCAGCTGAGGGATTCTGTGTGTTGTGTTTCTGTCTTCCTGTTTTGGTCTTTGAAAATGAGGCAGCAGGGAATCTTGGAGAAGTCAGAGGGAGAGTAAAGCAGACTGTCCTAGTTAATCAGAAGTGCTAAAAGGGCAAACTAAAGCTGTTCTCTAATTAACCAACAATCTAAGTTATCAAGAGACCATGTTGATGGCTGAGACAGATGAACAGCCAAAGAAAGCAGGCCAGAGATCCTGACAACCTTCCTAGGCTGAAACTGAGAATCCATCAGTAAAAACCCTTGGAAAGCATGACGCAGCCAGGACTGACAGTGACTTAGAAAGGAGCATACTATGGATATGATTTGGTTAGGAATTAAGAGAAACTCAGAAAAAGGACATATAGTACCTAGGTACTTAAAATTTCCCAAATTTTAATAAAACGGATGATCAAAATTAATGGTTCATGCTTAATTTCAGCTGCTTTAAAAGAAATATATGATTGTTAAAAAGGCACGTTATGTAGGCCAGGTCTGATTTCAAAGGTTTAGATCTTGTATTAGGCAGGGTTCTCCAGAGAAACAGAACCAACAGGGTGTGTGTGGGGGGGTGGGGGGTGGGGGAAGAGAATGAGAAAGAGAGAGACAGAGGACAAACATGGAGACTACCCTCCAAATTAAAGTTTGCCACTAATTAACAGTCAGCTTCATACGCTCCATTTGGGGATTAGAAAAGATACGTTACCTCTTCTTATAAACTGAAAGCTCCTGAAGGTTTGGCCAACTGTAGTTTCCTAATAAATCTTGTTGAAGGATACATATTTGAAGGGTGCTGTCTTTGGGTAAGAGCAGAGGGTGGCACTAGTAAGAACAAATGGCCACAGTCCCTCCCAGCATCCCCTGTGACCCGTGTGAACAGGCATACCCTGGTGTGCGGCTGGTAATGAGCACCAGCTTTACTGTTCCTAAGTCTGTAATTTCTCTTCTCTGGCAAAATGATGAGGTACAACCAGAACTGGGCATACCTTCTGAAATGCTTAGTTCCCTCTTCTTCGAGGTGGGACATAAGACCTACCTCATGGGCTAGTAGGAGGGTTAAATGCAATAGCATTGTTAAGTCCTATAAAAACATCAAGTATTTCATGATTCTTTTTTAAGCTCTCCAGTAGAAGTGAAAGCGTCTTTGGAAAAATACTACCTTTGAAAATTATCCATAAATGGCTAAATCAGAAAATTAGGAAAATATAGAAACACTGTGAATTTTATTTTATTTTATGGGTAGGGTCTCACTCTGTTGTCCAGGCTGGAGTGCAGTGGCACGATCATAGCTCACTGCAGCCTCAAACTCCTGGGCTCAAGTGATCCTCCCACCTCAGCCTCCTGGGTAGCTGGGACTCCAGGTGTGAGCCACTGCACCCAGCTATGGAAACACCATTTCATTACTATAATAGCTTCTGGCTTTACAGAATTCAGGTATTTTGGTAAAACCTACAGTGGTAGACTTTAAACTTTTAAAACTGTTTACGTCATTAGCAAGAAACTGTTACACATAAAGGCTTGATGTACATACATTTATTTAAAAATTATGCATATGTGTTCCTGTACCACTAAATTGTGCTTATTAAAATACACACAATAGACAAATGAAAATTCTAAGTAGAAGTCCTACCTTTCATTCTTGCAGCTCACAGGACGGCCCTGCAAAATCTTGAAGTTTACTCACCTCACCCTAGAGACCTGGAGGGTGCCAGGTAGTTTTAAAGTAAAGCAATGTACATATTGATGTTATTATCATTGGTTGCATTTAATTAACCTTCCCTTGCAGAGGGATGTTAAGGACATTACAAAACCCCACAGTATCAGGCCGGGTATGGTGGCTCACGCCTATAATCTCAGCACTTTGGGAGGCTGAGGCAGGTGATCACTTGAGGTCAGGAGTTTGAGACCAGCCTGGCCAACATGGTGAAACCCCATCTCTACAAAAAAAAAAGAAACAAAAACAAAAAAAACCCCGACAATTAGCTTGCCATGGTGGCATGCGCCTGTAGTCCCAGCTACTCAGGAGGCTGAGGCAGGAGAATCTCTTGAACCTGGGAGGCAGAGGTTGCAGTGAGCTGAGATAGCGCCACTGCACTCCAACCTGGGTGACAAAGTGAGAGACCCTGTCTCATCAAAACAAAACAAAACAAAGAACCCCCACAGTATGAAGCCCTTCTCACAAGGACCTCAGTGTCTGCTTGGGCATCTTCAATGACAGGAAAAGGGTGGGGTCACGGTCTCAGAAATGGCTCCTTCAGGTGCTCAACAGCTATTCACCTGAGGCACATAGCAATTCCCTTTCTAACACAGATTGTAAGCTGCATGAGGGCAGGGGCAGGTACTATATCTGTCTTATCTATCACTGTATCCCCAGAATTAATGAATAAATATTGAATGATTTCTTAGAAAAAAACTTCCTCACACCAACTGAAAGTCTGGCTTTATAACAAAGCAACAGCAAACCCTTATATTGCACTTAGTATGCCCCAAGCATCATCATAAGCTCTTGTCACGTATTAGTTTGTGAATCCTCCTAATGACCCCGTGAGTGAGGTGCTCCCACATTCCCATCTCAGAGCTGAGGAAACTGGGACAGAGAGTGGTAAGAGTCACTCAAGGACGCTGGGGCAACGTGGCTCCGACCCCGCAGCACTGCCTCTGCCCAGGGCAGTGGACTCCCTCTGCCTTTCCAGTCCCCATCATCTGGCGCAGATATCATGTCTAACTCTCCCTCATGTGACTGTCTTGCAGGTACAGGAGTGCAGGTCCTGGAGCCTTCACAACCATTGCTTTTCCAAGCCCAACACCCTACTGCCTCTACCTGCTTTAACAGATGATGGAGACTCATGCCTTCTAATATCCAGGCCTCATCCTCCTTTGGGTTTAAGCTTGTCCCTAAGAGGTCAAGAGTCCAAACATGGACTCAGACGGCCCTGAGTTGAGTTCCAGCTCTGCAAAAGCAGTTTGACTCTGGGCAAGTAACTGCAGCTCACGAAGCTTCCTCACAGTTTCCTCTTCTGAAAAGCAGGTTGGTACAGTGCCTTCCTCCTAAGAGTGCTCACTGTCCGACCATCCAGATGCCTCTCCTCAGAGGAGCTGGGCACAGCACACCACTATCAGGGGAAACATATTTGCATTAATCTAGATGATGATGCCAAACTTTATGGGAATGAATTGTATCAGCTTGGGAAATAGCTTTTTTCTATTTCCATTGGAATGATTTGGTTCTTTAACATAACTGTATATGGTGACAGTGACTCAATTCTTTTGTCTCTTGCTGTACAGCTCCTCCTTTCTCACAGGAAAAAATTCTGATAAAAACAATTTATAATACATCAAAATATTGACAGGAATGTTAAGCTGTAACCTCTGAAGCTATCTGTGGGCATGATTTATTATAGAAGTTCCACTGTGACAACTCGGCAATTAGGAAATATTGATAAATGCAAACACATTATTGATGTCAATTAAAAACGCACAAGATTGATGAGCCTCCCCAAGTGCTTTGACACGAGCAGTTAGAGAGTAATGCTCATCAATACACATCTAACCACTGTAACTGTGCAGAGAAATTAGGCTGCCAGGAAACAAAGGGTGCTTCCACATTCAAGTGAGATTACTGAAACAGATGAGCATCTAGTCAACAGGAATATCTAACAGAACCTCAAACCAAGTCCTTTGGAAAAAACATAGGTGCTTACTGGTGATTCATGATAAGGTAGGCAAGGAAGGTCTTCAAGAGGATTCAAGACTATGACACACTGAGTTGGTTGAAGGGGGGGGCCAAGTGCCTGAGTTGGCTGTGCCTGATTATATAAGTCTAGAGCATATGCCAAGCCAGAACCTCAAGAAAAAGGGTAATATCTTAGAATAGATTTTAATATTTGGCCGGGCACGGTGGCTCATGCCTGTAATCCCAGCGCTTTGGGAGGCCGAGGCCTGTGGATCACGAGGTCAGGAGTTCAAGACCAGCCTGGCCAAGATGGTGAAACCCCGTCTCTACTGAAAATACAAAAAAAATTAGCTGGGCATGGTGGCGGGTGCCTGTAATCCCAGCTACTCCGGAGGCTGAGGCAGAGAACTGCTTGAACCTGGGAGGCAGAGGTTGCAGTGAGCCGAGATCATGCCACTGCACTCCAACTTGGGTGACAGAGTGAGACGCTGCCTCAAAAAAAATAAATAAATAAAATAAAAGAATATATTTTAATATTCACAGGGATCTTCTATTTTGGAGGACCTGAGCAAAGTCCCGAATTTATTTCAAATAGATAACCTAATCAAGGTCACATTTCCTATGTGTAGGCAAGAGGGAGGATTTGAGCCTCAGTTACTGAGAAATGGAGGAACTGGGAAGGTAAATTAGTTTAAGAGAAAGGGAAGGCAGCGCCGGGTGCGGTGGCTCACGCCTGTAATCCAGCACTTTGGGAGGCTGAGGTGGGCGGATCACCTGAGGTCAGGAGTGCAAGACCAGCCTGACCAACATGGTGAAACCCCATCCCTACTAAAATACAAAACAAAAACAAAAACAAAACAAAACAAAAAAACAGCTGGGTGTAGTGGCAGGTGCCTGTAATCTCAGCTACTTAGGAGGCTGAGGCAGGAGAATCGCTTGAACCCAGAAGGCGGAGGTTACAGTGAACCGAGATTGCACCACTGCACTCCAGCCTGGGCAACAAGAGTGAGACTCCGTCTCAAAGAAAAAAAAGAAAAGAGAAAGGGAGGGCAACTAACTGAGTTTTGGACATCACGGCTTTCAAGTACTCATAAAACACCCAAGTGCAAATATCTACTTGTCACAGAGGCCTATATTTTGCATGAAAAAAGAAGACTAAAGATGAAGTTTCAAAGGATAAGCAGCATCAGGTTTGTCAAGAAGAATCAGGCTAACAAAAGTCTGGCTGGCTTAGCACTAAGAAGGTCTGTGTTTTTGATGTTAAAAAAATCAACCTCCACCTACTGTGTGAAAGGACTCTATGAGGTACCACAAAAGGCAAGGCACATTACTCTTGTCCATCTGGAGGTCATTCTCTTCCACTGCAGCTCAGGGAGGGCCACAGGGAGCAGTGAGAGACAGGATTCTTACCCAGAGCTCCAGATGCTCTGAATTAGCCCCTGGCTATCTAAACCTCATTGCCCAGTAATACCCATCTCTTACAAGCACTGTAAAGTCAGCAAAGGGCTAACCTGGTTCTCAATCCACAGAGAATTGAGTTTAGATACAGAGGACTGGCCTAAGGTCCATGTCCATCCCCGCCTCCCTGCTGTCTTAACCTTCCTTAAAGGGTAACTAGGTCAACGTTAGCCTTCTAATCTAGATCTGGTTGTTTCATGTATAAAAGGTATATCTTACACCACTCATACCCACTAGGATGGCTATAATCAAAACGACAGAAAAAAACAAGTGTTTACAAGAATGGGGCAAAATTAGAACCCTTATACCTTGCTGGTGGTAATAATGCACAATGGTTCAGCCACTTTGGAAAAAGACTAGGTAATTCCTCAAAAAGTTCAAACAGAGTCACCATATGACCCAGCCATTCCACTTCTAAGTATATATACAAGAGGAATGAAAACATATGGCCACACAAAAACTGGCATATGAATGTTCATAGCAACATCATTCACAAGAGCAAAAAGTGGGGATGACCCAAATGTTCATCTACAAATGAATGGATAAAATGTAGTATATCCATATAATGGAAGACTATTTGGCATTAAAAAGGAAGGAAGTACTCTCTTATGCTACAACATGGATGAACCTTGCAAACATTACGCTAAGTGAAAGAGGCCAGTCGTGAATATAAATTTCATCCACAGAGATAGAAAGTAGACTGATGATTGGCTAGGGCTAGGGAAGAGTGGGTTGGGGGAAAATGGGGAGTCACAGCTATAGGTATGGGGTTTCTTTCTGCGGTGATGAAAATGTTCTAAAATTGATCATGGTGATGGTTGTGCAACTTTGAATATACTAAAAACCACTGACTTGTATACTTCAAATGGGTGAATTTTGTGGTATGTGAATCACATCTCAATAAAGCTGTTACACATGCTTTTGTGAAATCTACACAATATTGCAGGGAAGAACAGTCACTACCAGACTGAAACTGTCACAGAGATTTCCATCAACAGGCTGAACCTTGAATGGCCCTGAAGTTGAGAAAAATCTCAATTTTTCTCAAATTGCCAGGAATTGCCAGGCAATTGCCTGAAAAAAGTTGGTGTTCTGGTCTGGCCAACCCATCCCAATTTAAGCTGTGCCATCCAGTTCCTTTGGATGCTAGGACATTTGGCCCAGGGTATTAGCATTTGTCACTGGGTCAGCTCCCAACAGCCATTGCCTTGTTTTGCTTCTACAGGTCTCCTTGCTGCCCCCAAGGTGCTATAAGAGAGTTGATACTGAGAACAAGTTGTGCAGCTGAGGGCTGCAACACAGTTTCAAAACAGACTGGTCTAGAGCATATTCATAACAACAATCCTGAAGGGCTGAAAAAATTTTACATATGTCTTTCTTGGTATATAGGTATATTAATCTTTTCTTCCCACAAATTCCCCCTGAAAGGAGAGAAGGTGTATGACTTTCTTAATAACTGTAGATGTACTTGGAATCCTGCTTGGGAAAATGCCTGCTATAAATATATAGGACACTGTGGATATTCTCATTGCCAGGGTTTACATGATAAGCGTGTCTCCAGAAGTGCAGGATGGATCAGCCACAATTTGTATGGGTAGCAAACCCTTAGCTGCACTAGAAAAATGCCTCCCAAAGAATGTTAAATAACATCTCCCTCAGATGAGGACTCCACTCTCGAGGACATGTCTCTGGTATTCTTTTGGCTCTAAGCCCTGTTATTCTACTTGGTTGTTAAGGATATTGTCTTGTGATATCAGCTCGAACCCCAAAGAGCCTCCTCAGGAGCATGCACTCTACTCCACCGGGTGGAAGCACATGAAATTTTCAGTTGCAGTAAAATTTTCATTGTTTAATTTAAAATAAAACTTCTAAACAGAGTCTGAAAGTCGGTAAAAGTGCAACAGAATAAAAATAATCACGAGAGCAAAGATTGAATTTAGAGAGATCCAGAGATCAGGGAAAGTCATCACAAAAACCAAAGACAGCTTGCCCGGAGACTAGCCTTGTGGAGAACATGCACTCTGCAGGGCTCACAGGTGGAGTAGACCAGGACAAGGCCCCTCTCTAGTTCATTGTAAGCCACTGGTTCGCAACTGTGGCTGCACACTGTCATCACTTCGGGATACTGATGCCTGACTCCCACACTCAGAGATTCAAATTCAACTGGTCTGGAGTAGACTGGTCTGTACAAGCACTGTAGGTGGTTCTGACGTACAGTCAGGGCTGATAACCACTGGTATAAGGTAAAAGTCCCGTCTTTGAAGATACCCTCAGAGCCAGAAAGCCTTTTGTTCACCCAGTAATACCGTGTAAAACAGAAAGTTGAATGAAATTCCAAGTGTACTGTAATGTATAAGAACAAAATATTTTAAAATTAAGATTAATTTTTCATTTTTTGTGGGGGAGTGAATCATGGTTGTTTTGAGATTGGTTATGGTTTTTCTTTCCAAATATTACAAGTGCTTAGATAATGGAAAACTCCAGCTGTGAAGGGTTTAAAGTATCTGAGGAGAGTAATTTAGAGTGCAACATGGGTATCTGATATGGAATGTATCAGTCTTCCTTTAGTTTTCTTTTGCCATCAAAAGAAAAATTCCTTTAGTTTTCTTGTCCCCATCAAGGATGGGGACAAGTGATCAGGCAAACCTTGGCACTGCTTGCTAGTCCTGGCAGTGCAAGTGCACGGGCAGGCTCAAATGCTCTTCCCTGTCTAGCCAAGAATTTCAGATCCCTGAGAGTGGCCTGGAAACATACCAATGCATCAAATCATCATCAACTGGCAAGGGGTAAAGGGGTTGACAAGCTCATGCCACAAACTGTCTTACTTTTCTTTGGGTGAATCAGTTCACCGAGCTGGCTAAATCCTCTTTTCAGCCTTCTGCGCTCAGCTCTGGGGCTGCCCTGCTGGGTCACCTGCTTAGCTAATCTGTTTGTTGCTCCAGAGGGAACCATCTGTCTTTCCAAACCTGCTGGCAGTGACCCCCTGCACCTCATTTCTCTCTGTGCGCTCCTGAAGATCCAGGGCACCAAGACGGGGCAGTCAGGAATCACGGGGCTGTGGGTGCCTTCCCCAGAGAGGCACTCTGACTTTCAGCAAGTCACTGGCTCTCAGTTGGAAGGGGTTAGCCAAGGCTACGAAAGTATATCTACCTAAAATTTTAATAAAATTCATTCTATTAAAATGCAATTAAAGGATCCTATTGGGAGGCAGCATGATATGGTGATGGAGACCTCAGCTCAAATCCTGGCATCAACCATTACTGGCTGCGGAGTCTTAAGCTCCTTAACCTCTCTGAGCTCATTTCTTAACTTCTCTGAGCCTCAGTTTCCTCATCTGCAAAATAAGGAGGCCCTGCAGGGTCATCCTCTTTCATGAAATGATCCATGCCTGCGGCACCTGGTATATAAAACATAAATGAAAAGTTAACTGCTTCAGCCTCCATAATCAGTGAATAACCATGACCAAAACTTGTTTTTGCAGGTGCTCAATTAACTGAATTACACTTTGCAATTCTAAATTTTTATAATGAATTTGTGTAAACAAAGTGCCCTGACAAGAACATTACTATATATGATCTTTCTGTATTTTCAGCATGTCTGAATTCACATACATAGAATTCTCCCACAGGTAAAGGTGAGTAAATTGCATTGTGTGAAGGGTTTGTGTGTCTACAATACCTGTATTCCATGGAAGTCCAGAGACAAACTGACAGGCAGAGGGGCCTGGCTCATTGTGCAGTATGTGGTTCCTGGACTTGCCTTTGATGTTCCAACTTCCAGGGGCAGCCTGATTTCCCAATGTCCAACCTCCTTACATACAAACAGGAGGAATATGAACTTTCTATGCCATCCCAAGAGGCTGCAAAAGGATGATGTGGGCACTGGATGGACCATGTGGCCTAACTCAGCAAAGGGCCTTCTGTTCAGATGTTTGGGCAAGAAGTACTTGTTCCAACAGGCCTTTCCAAAGTGGTTTTTGGCCACCCCACCCACCTTATTTCTCCCTAGTTCTCCCAAGAAAAGATGAATAGCCTGCCATAAGTTCGTATGTATGTCAGGGCTGCCAACTGCCTCCAAAGACAGGGCTGTTATAATTAGTTACAGCTCTAATTATTGTTCCAGGATATGGCTAAAATTTTGTTGGCTTAGACTTTTTGCTTTTTTCATAAGGGTATTCCATAAATACAGTGAATGACACAAGCTACTATGAAGGAATTCAAGTTTGTGGAATCTAGTCCTTTATAATTATAGCATATAATTCATTTGGCAGCATTTTCTAACCATTATCAGTGTGTAGGGCACTGTGATAAGTGTGAGACAGAGAGGACAGCCCTAGTCTCCAAGGAGAGAACGACATACAACACTAATAAACCAAAAAGTCACATAAGCAACTCTGAGTACTTGTCCACCTCTACAGGCATGTGTTTGAACATGCACACGTGAAATCTGTCCTTCATCTGTCATCAGAAAACAAATTCCTCAAATACAGACGATTAACTACCCACGCCCCCCGGACTTTGGTAACTTGCTCCAGGGGACATTCCATGATGCTCGGAAATACAGGCTGAGATGGGTATTACAGAAATCCAAGGAAAATTTCACTGAAGCTCTGATTAGGCATATCTTGTTGATCAGGCACCATTCTACGCACATGGGTATGGAGGAAAAGACAACTGTGAAATCAGGCCTTTCTGTCTGTATACAGTAGTCTGCTGCCTGGGACAGCTGCTTGGTAGGCCTCCTAATGGCTCCTGGTCCTGCCTCCCCATCTTCTGAATTTGAGAACACCTTTATTCAAATTAAGGGACTCCCATTTTTTACTTCCAAACACCACCTTGCCCTCCATGAGATTTTTCCTGAAGCCTTTATTTCACTTCCTTGCCTAGCAGTCTGCAATGTGATGGGAACGTTTAAAATATGGAAGATTACATGGACTGCAATTTTCCCTTGGCCCTCCTGATTCTATTCAGGTGGATATTCTTTTATCAGCATGCAATAAATATTTCACACTGAAACTGTCACTTGGAATTTAGTCTTCACAGCTCCACTTAATGCACTGAAAAGCGGCCGGGGAAGTCAGACGTGTATTATAACAAGAACAGCATGCCGAGAGCCTGCAGCTGGGCAGGGCCCCTCGTGTTGCGTCTAAGCGGCTGGAGAGCAGAAGCACATGAAAGAAGAACGGACAGCTGCTCCCTTTCCGCACACTTATGGGGCTGAAACCAAAGTGGGAACGTCTCCATCAGGATTTGTTTTAGCACTTGAGTTTTTAAAAGTAGTAAGGAAAAAGCAGTTTGAAGTATAGATGAGGCTGCAGCTGTCTCTTACTTACTGAACACTTATCATGGGCCCAGCGCTGTGCTGTGTGCCTCACAAACATTGTCAGTCTCCTTCACACCCCTAGGAAGGGCAGACAATTATGCCTATTTTACAGAAGAGAAAGAGTCCCACAGAAAGTCATTTGCCTAAACTCATAAAGCTTGGGAGTGATAGCCAGGACTTGAAACCACTCCTGTTGTACTCCTGGGCCTGTGCCTTCATGCCTTCCCGTGGGGCACCAGGGAAAATAAAAGAGTTCCACAGTCTCCTTTCATCCTGCTGGAACTTACCTCATGGATCACCTTTTCTTTTCAACTGACTCTGGGGGTGGGCTGGGGGACAGGGGAATACTCTAGTTTCCTTGGCTTCTTTTCTGGAAAGGGATATGCCCACTTCCTCAAGTAAAGGAGGAGTTTTAGTCTGAGTGTTTGTTAGTTAAGGATAACAGGACTCACTGGTGTGAAAGAAAAGCAGAATCGAAGGACCCCAAACTCATGATGCCAAAGGGAAAGGGAAGCTTGGGAAGTGAGTCACACAAAAACTGCCTTCCTTCTGCTCCCAAACAGGTAACTGACTTCTCCCTCCCTCTCTTCCCATGTGAAATGCAGACTCACTGAGCGCTAGTCAGAGCCTCACAAGGAAGGAACCACTTGCCTCACTGCTTACCCTCTCTCCTTTTTTTCCCTTTCCTCTCCTGCATGCTCTTTCCCCTTTCAACACTGAAGTTCCCAAAACCCTCTTTCAAAAAAGCACAGATGACAGATCCTCCCGTGACTTGTGTTTCTTTTTCCCGGGTGCATCCTCAACCTTGGCCAAATAAACCTCTATCGATTGAGATCTGCCTCGGTCACTTTTTGCTTTACACTGATCAGCAGCTTTGCTGTTTCCACAGGGTGCTAGTGCACATCATCTCACTTTGTCTATTCGCAAAGATGCTAAGTGGTGCACAGGGTAGGTGAAGACTTCTGGCCAGAAAGCAAGTCAGAGTCTGGACTGGAACCATCCTTCTGAGTTTCAGCGGAACTCCCTACGTTTTCCTACCAAGCCAGCTTGGCCTTATTATATTAGGCATTAATGGAGTGCTTTCTGCATCAACAAGGCACTGGGGATCACAGTGAATAAGAACAACGCTAATCCTCTGGAAGCTCACAGGGTAGGGACAGGATGACTTATTAAAATGCCATTCTAAAACAATGTGATCATGCTATTAAGCAAAGTCACAATAAAGTGTGTTGTTGGTCCAGAGAACAATGAGATTGCAGCAGGAAGAAAGGGGCAGGAAGGTCACTGAAGGCCTTCCCTAGGGGAGGAGGTGAATGCAGACACAAGTGCACTGGGTGTGCTGTGTGCCTCGTGCTGTGCTAGGTCCCAAGGACATGGAAGGCCCAGCCCTCCGGCATCCTGCAATCTGGCTGGAGAGAGACTCATGGTTACAAATCAACTGGAATACTGCAGAGGCTGGCCATAAAATACGACTATCGGGGGACAGGCTGAACACAGTACAGAAATAGACAGGAGCAAGCCATTTTCCGAGTGGTTCCCTGAACTGCCAGGGAGAGAAAAAAGTATGGTCAATGTCTTATAAAAAAAAACAGGCTGAGTTTCAAAAATTATTTCCAGTAGGAAAAATACTTTAATATTACAAAAAACATGAACAGCTATACAGACAGCAGTGAGCTTCAAATAATAGCTGATACTTATTTTTTAAAAAACAAAACACTAAGTTTGGCTCTGCTAAAATAGAACCTGGTTCAAAGCAAGAGGAAAATTTATTTTTGCTATTTTTACCAGCTCCCCCTTCTCCACCTCACTCCTTCTCAGAAGCTCTGATGAGTTCCAGGGAGGGAAACCTCATTCGTAAATGAGATATCTATAACCTATCACCTGTAGGAAAAGGCAGGTTCTCTTTTCCAGGTCACAGTACCCCAGAAATCACCATGATCCATGCAACACTCCTGCCATTGCTGGGTGTCAAAAGCTTTCACAAAGTGCAGCTCCAGGCTTTTCTCAAACAGGCCCCGCTGCTGGAGCCGACCGTGAAGAACCAGCATTACATAACTCAGCATTACATCATCCAGTTACTCCCCCATGTGCAAGAAAACACACTTGCTGGGAGATCTGGGCAGTCAGGCTTTCCCTTTATAGTCAGTTCAGTCAATAGAGAGGGTCAGTGACATAGCTCACCCTTGGTCAAAATCCAGCATTCACCAGGGTGTTTCTGGGACTTGGCAATCATTAGCATTTATTTTCAGAACCAGAAAATGTCAGGCATGAAAGGGACCTTAGAGATACACTGAGCAATCCTCTTTATCCACAGGAGGAAGCTGGCCTATGAGGGTTGGCTGCCAGCCAGTGGGGGGTGGGAGCAGAACCTAGGTCTCCTGGCTCGCTGGGCCAACAATCAGTGAGTATTTATTGGGCCCCCATGGCCTAGCTATCTCTGTGTGTAATTCCGAAATGCACTCACTTATCAGTGGAGTGGAATAGTCTAATGAAAGAAACCCCAAGGATCTCAACAAGGCAGTTAAATTTAGGTTGTAACAATAGAGCCAATTCCTGAAAAAATTCTTGTGCTATAAGGGATCTTGGAAACCAATATGCTCAAATTCTTACTTTCTACAGGTGAGGCCTAGAGGTGAGGACTTCATGGTGATGCTATCACTAACTTGTGACAGACTTTGAAGGGGAATCCTTATGACTTCAGGGTTGGTGCTATTTTTACTCCATTGAAGAGGCGGGAGGAGTGGGGAGAAGAGAAGTGCTTCTTAGACTGGATGAAATGGAAATGTTTGGGGAAAAGAAAGTAAGTAAAATACTGATTTAATTCCACACTAGCATTATTTAATCAAACTAAGGGCATTCTGGTACCACATTTTAGAGAATTCTTAGCGCCTTTTCAGTATTCATAACTGACCAATCCATGTAACTGACCAATCCATGAAATCGCAGCTTCATTACCAGACTAGGGAAGATATACAATTTCTGACAGATAGCTTGGCTCTGGTATTTCAAAAACACATTGAGTACAAAACTAGAATGGTGCTCCTTCGCCTTTAGTAGAAACACTGAGTGATGACATGACTTTAGACAGAGTCAATACCACGACCAAGGATAGACAGCTACTGAGTAAGTGTTATTAGGATTTAAATTTAGGTGTACCTTGCTCAAAACCTCTTCTCTTACTCACCACTCCTATTATATCTCAGGGAGGAAAAAGCCACGCCGTTTTTTAGACTGATAGATGTATAATTAGGAGAGATCTTCCCAACAGCACTGATGAAATGAGCTGTCACATATACACAGGTGAAATCCATCCAGTCCGAAAAGAAAATTCAGCTGCAGCTATCAAGGGCTCAGGAAATGAGTGCACACCCTCATATACACAGCAGGCAAGGGCTCAGAAAATGAGTGCACGCCCTCATATACACAGCAGGCAAGGGGCCATCACCTCCCTGCACCACAGAGGGTGCAACACAGAAATACAAATTAACACAAACAAGGGGGAGCCCCTTGGATTGTCTTTCCTAAAAGATGTGACACTGTTCCTTTGTCATCTTGGGAGAAGGTCTTCTGCATAAGCAGGACTGGAGTCAACTTTGATTACTTGAAAGGACAAGACAAGCAGTGAGGCATCAAAAAGTTTCCACTTAAGGGTACTTCAGTGATAGCTTGTCTGGAAAAGCACAATTGGAGCTGTAGCCTTCAGATCTATGGGGAAATTCTGAGCAAATACTTCTTAAATAAGGTGGTTGAACTTTCACATTTTCGGAGTGTAGTTTTCGTATTTATTTTCTTTTGACGGCAGAGAGAGAGAGAGTTTTCTGATATGTGATAAAGGAGCCTGGCCTCTAGGGATCAAGCTATTCATGAGCCTACAGAGGGTAAGCTGTTACCTTCTAACAAGAGCTCTAAATGAACAATTAGAAAAAGGAAACATGCATCTTGCCACTGTCTTTCATCTTCAATGTCTTGTCTCCTTCTGTCAAGATAAGGCCACCCATAATCTGATCCCTCTTCTGAGAGCTGGCTAACAAGTGAGAGTGCAGGTGGGCCCAACATTCTCCTAATTGTGTGTCCTTGGGAGAATTACCCCAGCATGTCAGGTCAGAATTTCCTCACCTAAAAAAATGAGGATAAGAGTTCCTTTCTCTTAGGAGACACTGAGACAACGTATTCAAAGTGTGGAGTACAGTGTGTGGTGCACAGTGTGTGTGTAAGGAAGCAGCACTGACAAGCACACATCATCACTGCTGCCACCACCATCATAAACTTGACTCTTTACAGATGTGGTAAATTAGGCAAATAGGCAACTTGCCTGAGATCATGAGGTAAAATATCATCTGAGCTGAGAACTTCCGCTTCTTGCCTGTGAGACCAATGTGCTTTCTCTGCCAGAGTTAATAATATCTGCTTCAGCATCAAAACAGTTCTTTAAGGAATTCCACAGTGAATGATATGAGGACTAAATGGGAGAAGGATGGATATCATAATAAAAATTCCCAAATGAAACTCTTGCAAAAGTTTTCTATACACAGCATTACTGCTGCCTTTTATGGGAGCACTCCAGCACATGGAAATACACTAAAGGAAAACTGTTGTATATGAAAGACGCATAGGGACAGGCTTCTTTTAGAAAGGAAATGGAATCTTGTTTTATGCACATCATCCTCGGAGGAATCAAGCAAAACTAACAGGCAATCTCCAACCAAATGAGAGACATTCCTTCCACAGGAACGCCAACTATGGGAATGCTGTTGCCCCAGACTCGAGGATTTACTGGAATTTCTAGAAAAAGCAGGGAGGAAATTAGTTCAAATTCCTATTTGAAGACATCTTTTTATAGCTGCAGAGGAATTATATATTAAATAGACTGAACAAATGAATGTCATACAGGGGCCAAGCTATAAAACTAAACAAACTGTCTCATTGCCTTGCTTTCTTAAACTTCGACAGGGGGCTGGGGAATTTTCCACTCATCTGGAAAAACTTCTTATATCCAAAAGATATAGGGTTCACTTAGGGGGCAGTTCTGGTCATTGTATATAAATTCATGTTGCTTTCCTGAGGATTTTTATTGAAGTCCAAGACAGAGTATTTAAATCTCCTTTGCCTCTGATGGGTTTATTATTACTTTTTATTTTATTACTATTATTTTTGAGATGGAGTCTCACTCTGTCGCCCAGGCTGGAGTGCAGTGACGCGATTTTGGCTCACTGCAACTTCCATCTCCCAGGTTTAAACAATTCTGCTGCCTCAGTCTCCCAAGTAGCTAGGATTACAGGTGCCTGCAACCAAACCTGGCTAATTTTTTTTGTATTTTTAGTAGAGATGGGGTTTCACCATGTTCGCCAGGCTGATCTGGAACTCCTGACCTCAAGTGATCCACCCACCTTGGCCCCCCAAAGTGCTGAGATTACAGGTGTGAATCTATTATTACTTTTTTATTACAATAGCCTATTATTACATTTTTATTGCACCCAGCCTATTATTACTTTTTAAATATGTAGATTGATCCTTTGATTTAATCGTAGTTGATTTATAAAGGTATAGGGGAAAGTGCTGCTGGCGTATGCTTTTAAACTTTATCCCTGTTCTATTAAATGAGCGAACAGATGGGACATTAGAAGTGGGAAGAGTGCTAGGTCCCTGAAGAGTCAAAATGAGAAAGAACTTCTACAAGGCCGGAAGGACCTCATAATTCCATGGTAACTCCCCATTTCATAATTATACGGCATAGAATGGGTGCTCAGTAAATATCTAGGAAAAGAAACCTTGGGCAATGGAATTGTAAACGACACAGTGTGTGTTACTTATCCAGCAGATGATGTGGAACATAGCTGAGAAGCCAACCAGGGAACAGGGAGAAATCAAACCAAGACACTAGTATAAACATTAAGATGGGGCTTGGGAAAAGCATTTAAATCTCTCTTTGCCTATCAGTTATTACATTATTGTTCTTCAACTATTATTTCATTTTCTTTGGAAGAAAACTGTCTGATCAGAGATATATTCTAGTACTGGTAACACATCTTCTACCAGGAAGGAAGAAGGCTAACAGCAGAGGTGCTAACAATATGAATGAAATAATTCAATTTTCTGGGTTTCCTTCTAACAGAAAGGCTAGATGAAGAGAAGTCTTTGGAATCTATAATGATATAAATATATAGCTGGCATATAACTTTGTTCATCTGCAGCCTAAACTCTGTAGTGTTAAGTTCTTGGTGAAAAATGGCCAAGGAAAACCAGGCATAGAGTAATTCAGTCTAACATGTATCAGTAGTTTCTGTAAATAGAGAAGAAGGGGACAGATATTTATGTGAATGTTGAACCATGGGATTTTAGAACTGGCAGCAGCCTTAGAAATTACAGTATAATCCTTTGGTTTTACAGATGAGAAAACAGAGGGCTCGCGGGTGTAAATTCACTAGTTCAAGCTTCAAATGACTTAAGCTTCCTATCCCTAAATACCAGCATCTGAAGAATTTAATTTCATGCTTCCAGTTAAAAAAAAAAACCAATGACTGGCTATAATTCGTTTTGAAAAAGAAGGGACTTATTTTTATTGTGGAAAAAACACAAACCATAAAATGTATCATCTTAACTATTTTTAAGCGTTTAGTGCAGCAGTGTTAAGTATATTCATATTGTTGTGAAACATGACCAGAACTTTTTCATCTTCCCAAATTGAAACTCTGTACCAATTAAACAATTTGCCTTTTTCTCCTCCTCCAGCCCCTGTTATTCATCATTCTACTTTCAATTTCTACAAATTTGACTACTTTAGACACCTCATATAAATGGAATCATACAGTATCTTTTTGTGTATGGCTTATTTCATTTAGTGTTAAGTCCTCAAGGTTCATCCATATTCTAACATGTAGCAGGATTCTGTTCCTTTTTAAGGCTGAATAATATTCTATTGTATGTATATACTATATCCTGTTTATCCATTCATTGTTGATGGACATTTGGATTGATTCTACCTTTTGGCTATTGTGAATAGTATATAATCATTTTCATGTATTTTAAATGTCCCTTAGATAGGGATTGACTTCCCTTTATTCCACTAAAACAAGAGGCATATTAATTTTATAAATTCTCTCAAACTATCAAATATTAATAATACTTAAGGTAAATGCATACAAGTGGAGAGATATGGGGTGCACTATCTGTTTTCCTGCAAAGGACCTCAAACATACCTACTTTTTCTCAGGCTGTTGTAAAAGGATGAGAACTGTGGGTAAGATATCACTTTCATTAAAGTTTTAACCACCATCTAGGGAACTGGAGCGGATATTGCAGTGACTGACAATGAGAGAGGGCCTGGTCATGATTTACTAGCTTCTAATTTCACAACAGCACATTCAAACACTGAACCATATAATAGCAAATAAAAGTAAAAATAAGTATGGTTTCAGAGACTCAACTACCACTACCCCAAACATCAATAAATTCAGCAAATTACTTTGCTTAGCGATCTACAAAAGGAAAAAAAAAGTGTAAGCTAAGAAACACTGAAAATGCTTCATCTCACACTTACATTAACAAAAATGGATGCTA